>NC_000020.11:3702698-3854213 GCF_000001405.40 Homo sapiens
TGCAACTTCAGGAATATAAATATGTAGGTAGATACATAAATAACATATGCATATGTATATAGAGTGTCCATATATGTATAAGTGCACATGTCCACATAGAGTGGATGTGCATACACACAAGTGCACCTGTATATATGCAAGTCTATATCCATACATTTATATGTATGTATGTGCGTGTGTGTGTCTGTGTAGACAGCGAGAAAGATTAAGCAAATGTGCCAAAATGTTAATAAATGGGAAATCTAGGTTAAAGGTATATAATCATTATTTGTCTTTCTCTGCAACTTTTCATAAGTTTAAACTTCCAAATATAAAATAGGAGGGAACTAGGGAGGTCAAAGCATTGCCCAGGTGTGCAGAGCTGGGACATGAGCTCAAGGCCACCTCCAGGTAAGTGGCCTTGAAGTTCCCATGCCCAGGACCCCAACCCTTCCTTGGGGCTCCACCATCTGGTCCTGCTCTGACTGTGTCCAGTGCCACCCCACCCTGGCCTCTTACGGTTGACTACCACGCTGACAGGGCCCGAGCGCTCGCTGCCATGGACGTTCTGCACCTCACAGAAGTAGAAGCCAGTATCAGCCCTAGTGGCCAAGTGCAGCCGGAGGGTATGGGAGTGGGCATCCTCCAGCAGGACATGGTTCTTGTACCAGCTGTAGCGGAGATCACTGGGTGCCTCATTGGGTGTGTTGCAGACTAGTGTCACTGTCTGGTTCTCCAGGATGGGACCTGCTGGGCTCACCTGGACCTCAGCCACTGCAAGGGCAGCATAGGGAGTGCTGGGGGGTCCCAGCCAACTTCCAGCCCCAGCCCCATACAGTCCCCGGGTCTCAGCCAATCAGCCTCAATCTCTGCACATCCTACACCACCCGCCTGCTGCTACAGGGGAGCCTCCTGGAGTGCTCTGCATCTCTTTGTCCTGCTCACCAGGATCCCCCTGACACCCCACCCTTCGTGGGGGTATTGTCACCTGTCTCATGGTAAGGCAGGGCTGGGACTCCACACCTGCATCCAGGAAGCACTGGGTTATGCCAGTTGCTGGCCCTGCCCTGCCCTGTCTCCCCTCCGTCCCTGAGGCCTGAGCTCCTCCCTATTCTCTGGCCAATACGCAACCTTCCCAAGAACTCACTGAAGATGTGGAGGCTGATGGGGGGTGAGACCAAAGAGCCCACGCCGTTCTCAGCTTGGCAGGTGTAGACGCCAGCATCGCTCCAGGCTGCCTGGGGCAGGTGCAGCACACCAGTCTTGGTTTGGAGGCGTACCCCATCCTTGAGCCACTTAATGGAACTGACTGCAGGGTAGCTGCTGTTCACCTGGCAGGTGAGTGTGACCAGCTCACCTGGAAGGATGTTCCTCCCCGAGGGGCTGAGGAGGATCTTCACACCCTTGGGGGCATCTGCAAGTCACAGTAGGGGGTATTGGGTAAGGTGCTTGGGGAGGGCAGAGGATGGCACACTTCTTCTTGCCCCCCTTTAAAAGCTCAGTCCTAAGGAAGTATGCCCAGATAAAACAGCAGTCCCCTTCAATCCTCACCCAGGGCATGCTCTGTCTGCCCATGTCCGTCCCTTTCCCGCCCCCTGCGCCTGATGCATTCCTATGCCCATTGAGAGCTGATCATGTGACGCTTGGCCAGCGTCCAGCCTACCCCACCAGCTGTAGTTTTCTGCTTCCCAATGCTGTCCATTGCTCCTGCTCTATTTGGGATGAGCTCCACACACAGGGTCATGGGTACCCCACTGCTAGCTTTAGTGGCCTGTGGAAGCTATTGGTAAGGGACCAACTACCTAGTGGGAGGGGGCCAAAGGCAGCATCAAACTAGCTCTGAAAATAGTTACCCAGTTTGTAAGCAAGAGGCCAACAACACAAAGAACTGCATTTCCTTAAATCTTGTTCCAAAGCCTCTCTCTGTGTATTCAAGTGTTTTATTCTTATTTTTTTAGAAAGAGGATCTGGCTCAGTCAGCCAAGCTGGAGTGCAGAGGCACAATCATAGCTCACTGCAGCCTGAAACTCCTGGGCTCAAGTGATCCTCCTGCCTCAGCCTCCCGAGGAACTGGGACTACAGGTGCAAGCCACCACATCCAGCTAATTTTTGTTTTTTAATTTTTTTGTAGAGACAGGGTCTCACTATGTTGCCCAGGCTGGTCTCGAACTCCTTGCCTCAAGCAATTCTCCTGCCTTGGCCTCCCAAAGCACTGGGGTTACAGGTGTGAGCCACTGTATCCGGCCTCAAGTGTTTAATATGTGCCAGGCACTCTTCTAAATCCTTGACCTGGGTCATCTCCTTTATTTGTTTTTGTTGTTGTTGTTGTTTTTTGTTTGAGACACAGTCTCACTCTGTCACCCAGGCTGGAGTGCAGTGGCACAATCACAACTCAATACAACTCCACCCCCGGGGTTCAAGCAATCCTAGTGCCTCAGCCTCCTTAGTAACTGGGATTACAGGCATATGCCACCACACCCGGCTAATTTTTGTATTTTTAGTAGAGACGAGGTTTCACCATGTTGGCCAAGCTGGTCTTGAATCCCTGGCCTCAAGTGATCCACCCGCCTCAGCCTCCCAAAGTGATGGGATTACAGGCATAAGCCACCGCGCCCGGCCCATCTCCTTTAATTTTTATCATAAATCTGTGAGACAGGAACCATCTATTGTTATCTTCGTCATAGACTGAGAAAACAGAGCCAGGCAGGAAAGGGATAAATCCCACCTCCCCAGCATCCTCCAGCACGGGGTAAATCCCGGGGCACTTGCTGCCAACCCTGAAGCTGCATGGGAGCTCCTGTTCCCCAACCCTTTGTGTCTCCCTTTCTCTGCCCAGCCTGGCCTCAAGGACAAGCCCCTTCGAAGCAGTAGGAGGTGGAGGGAACCATTTAACGAAGTCCTTGGGGCTCAGCAGTGTCTCTCCACTTGCCCTACCCTGGAGGCCCAGGAGCAGCCTGGTTTTGCATCAGGAGCAAGGGTTCCGTTTCTGTGGGCTGGAGAGGGGCTGGTTTCTGTCAGGAGCAACAGATGCGCTCAGCCACAAGGGTGTGTCCCCAGACAACTCACACTTCACTTGGAGGTGAATCTCGCTCTGAGCCCTGTGATTGGCCACGGAGAGCTGGCAGCGCAGGATCCGGCCGTGGTCCTGCCAGGACATGGCCATGTGGAGGGTCTCCAGGTGGCCGACGCCGGTGGGCTCAAACTTCTGGCTGTTGAAGGTGACAGAGCGAGCAGGGTCCTGGCCTTGCCACTGCAGTCTGACCTGCTCCTGCAGGCATACGTAGGGAGTGGAGCAGTTGAAGTCCACCTCTGTGCCCTCGAGAAGCTCCACCGGGGAGGCAATGGTGGGCACCCTGGGCTCCTCTGAGGACAGAGACAGCAGTGCTCAGGACCCGCTTTTGCCACCCCTGAGATCCCTCGCCCTGGAAACCCCAGCTGAGGAGAGAGCCCTGGGGAGGGGGCTTTTAGGGGAAGGAAAGACGCTTTCTACTCCAGCCCCACTTGGGTGAATACAAGGGAGAACCAGGCCTGGGCCTACGCCGGGGCTGGAACAGAGGCTGAGACTGGCTGGGGTTAGATTCAGGACAAGGGCTGGGGCTGAGAGCCAAGGGGTCCAGAAGCAGCTTGGGAATCCCTCCCGGGGGGCAGCCAGGCCACCCCACTTATCACCTGTTACTGTGACCAAGGTGCCTTTCACATCTGACCAGCGGTTGACCTCACTGATCTCGAAGCGGAAGTTGTAGGAACCAGAGTCCTCGGGCTGCAGGTCCTTCAGCAGCAGGTTGCACACCCTGTGCTCGGGGTTCCCCATGAACTCGGTGCGGCCGCGGAAGCGGGCCTCCACCAGCTTGGGGTCCGCCGAGTGGCTCACCACCTGCCGCTGGCCCGAGTAGTCGTAGTACCAGATGGCCGTGATGCCGTCGGGCACCTCCACGTCGGCAGGGAAGCTGAAGATGCAGGGGATAAGCAGGCAAGACCCCTTCACACCCTGCACGTCCTGGGGACTGGAGACGCCCCATGAGGCCTGGCCTGGGGGAAGAACGGCAGGGGGACAGAGGGGAGGGTGATACAGGCCTCAGGGTGCCACAGAGCCCTGCGACCTGCCCCAGAGAAGGTGCCCCAGCTGGGCTCCCAAATTCTGCCCTGCCCCGAGAAATGCACACTTAGAGCAGCCCTTCTCAGTGCCCCAGGGGTCAGTCCACTGCCCGAGGCTGCTCAGAGGTTTGGTAGGGTGGCTCGAAGACAGATGGCAGCTTCCTGCCCAGCTCCTGGCCACTGCCCGATTGGGCCCTCCCTTGACCTCAGCAACCAAACATGTGACCCAGGCATAGTCTAATCTGCCAAGGGCTGGACTTATGAAGGCTGGACCCTGGAAGACAGGCACTAGGCCCGCAAAGCTTACCTGCTGGGAAGAATGAGGCCAGGAGGAGAAGCTTGGGCAAGAAGCCCATAGCAGGTTCTTGTGCTGCTCCTGTTGCCTAAGAGGGTGGTGCGCACTGCGCTGGCTGGGCTCACAGGGGCCTCCAGGGACACCTCTGGGCACTTTAGCCCCAGCACCTGCTAGAAGTCCGAGCCTGTGTCCCCACCTCCTCTGCTGGCCAACCCAATAAGAGGGCAGGGCTCTTAAAGACCTCTGAGTCAGACACCAGCAGAGAGCCAGGAGGCCACGTTCCCAGCTCAGGCTGTGCCCAGGAATGCCCTCACTTGGTGGCCTGCCTCAGAAAAGCCTGTGTGTCCCTTGGCCCTATCCCAAGTTCTGCTTTCCCAGCCCCTCAAGGATACCACCCTAAGGCAGATGAACAGCTGTTTCTCCCTCTTCCCCACTTCCCTGCCCCCTCCCCACCACCCAAACCAACAGGAACTGGAGCCCAGAGATGCCCAGTTACTCACTCCAAGACACCCAGCTAGAATGATGGTTTCTTCCTGAGGCTTGTCTCCTACCACCTGCCTTACTAACTATAGACCATAATGGGGCTTTACTGAACTTGCCGAAGTGCTGCCTTTAACAGTCACTCCCCTGCTCAAAAACCTTCTGTGGCTCCCCATTGCCCGTGAGATGTGAAAAGTCCTCATTTCCTGCCCCCAGCTCTGTCCCCATTCCCTGCTCTCCGCAGACCCACTCTGGGGGCAGTTCTGTCTGCTCAAGGGCTCCCTAGCTGCCCAGCTCTATCTCCACCACAGATAATCTTTGCCTGCTGAAACCTTATTCAACCTTCAAGGAGCAGCATGAATTTGGCTTCCAGCTGGAACTTCTCCTTTGAGGTTCCTGTAGCTACCCCAGAGCTATCTCTATTTTCCTTGCCTTGTTTTTTACAGCTTGTGAGAGCCCATTTCTCAGGACCTAGAACTGAAGATATGTGCCCCATAGCAGTGCGGAGCCTACCAGGCATTCAGCAAACCCCTTAGTGACTAAGAGAGGGGTGAGGTCTTTAGGGGTTCAGAGCTGAGGTTCAGAGTTGGAGTGGGGAGGTGGCAAGGCAAGTCTAGGTTTGAAAGGTAGCATGAGAGCGCTGTGGAACACATACCCCACAAATATGAGCTCAATGTGTGCGGAGTGTACCATATCCAAAAAGGCAGGCCCTCAACCATGGAGTGCCCCTGGTCAGGGAGTGTCTAAGGGGTACCATAGACCTGAGCCCAAAAGGAAGAGATGCCAGAAACACATATAAGTGAAACTATAAAACTCTTAGAAGAAAACAGGTGAAAATCTTCATGACCTTGGATTAGGCAATGCTTTCTTAAGTATGAAATTAAAAGCACGAAAAAAAAAAATAGGTAAGTTGGACTTCATCAAAATTTAAAACTTGGCCAGACACAGTGGCTCATGCCTGTGAACCCAACACTTTGGGAGGCTGAGGCAGGAGGATCACTTTAGCCCAGGAGTTCAAGACGAGCCTGGGCAATACTGCAAGACTCTGTCTCTACGAAAAATTAAAAAACAGGCCTGTGGTCCCAGCTACTCTGGAGGCTGAGGTGGGAAGATCGCTTGAGCCCAGGGGAGGGGTCGAGGCTGCAGTGAGCCATGATTGCACCACTGCACTCCAGCCTGGGTGACAGAGCAAGACCCTGTCTGAAAAGAACAAACAACAGCTGGGTGCGGTGGCTCACGCCTGTAATCCCAGCACTTTGGGAGGCTGAGGCATGCAGATCACAAGGTCAAGAGATTGAGACCATCCTGGCCAACATGGTGAAACCCCGTCTCTACTAAAAATACAAAATTAGCTGGGTGTGGTGGTGTGCACCTCTAGTCCTAGCTACTCGGGAGGCTGAGGCAGGAGAATCACCTGAACCCAGGAGGCGGAGGTCACGGTGAGCCAGGATCACGCCACTGTACTCCAGCCTGGTGACAGAGTGAGACTCTTCTGTCTCAAAAAAAAAAAAAAAAAAAAAGGATATGAATCAAAGGACACTATCCAGAGAGTGAATAAAAGGAGGACAACCCACAGAATGGGAGAAAATATTTGTAAATCATTTATCTGATAAAGGACTAATATCCAGAATATATAAAGAATTCCTACAATGAACAACAACAACCACCAAAAAAACCATGAAATCCAACTCCAAAAATGGGCAAAACACTTGAATAAACATTTCTTCAAAGAAGATATATAACTGGCTGATAAGGACATGAAAAGATGCTCAACATCACTAGGCATTAGGAAATGCAAATCAAAACCAAACCACAGTGAGATACCACTTCACATCCGTTAGAATGGCTATTCACAAACAAACAAAGCAACACAGAAAACAATAAATATTGGTGAGGATGCGAAGTTGAAATTCTTGTGTATTGCTGGTGGGAATATAAAATGGTTCCGTCACTGTGGAAAACAATTGGGTCATTCCTCAAAAAGTCAACATAGGATTACCATATGATCCAGCAATTCCACTCCTAGGTATATACCCAAAAGTACTGAAAACAGGGACTCTAACAGAGTACACCAATGTTCACGGCAGCACTATTCCACTAAAAGGTGGAAACAGGTCAAGTGTCCATCAGTGAATGGATGTGGATAAACAAACTGTGGTATGTACATACAATGGAATATCAATCGGCCATAAGGAGGAATGAATTCTAACATATGTGAACCTTGAAAACATTATGCTCAGTGAAACCAGCCAGACACAAAAGGGCAAATATTGTAGGGTTCCAATTACATGAAATATCTAGACTACGTATATTCAGAGACTGAAAGTAGAATAGGATAGAGGTAACCAGGGGCTGCAGGGAGGGGGAGCTAATGTTTAATGATTGCTGAGTCTCTCAGATAATGAAAAAGTTCTGGAAATAGTGGTGATGGTTACACAATATTGCAAATGTACCTAATGTCATGGGGTGTACACTTAAAGACAGTTAAAACAGTAAATTTTACATTATGTATATTTCACCACATACACACCCATGTTGCCAACTTTGCAATCCTCCCTGGTCCTAAATGCTGACTTGGCCAAGTGAACGAGGAGGCTGGAAGTGGGGACAGGAAACTCATGACCTCCCAGCTCCCAGCCCATCCGCCTCAGGGGCTGGGCTCAGCAGATTCCAATGACTACCAGGGGTCACACCTGGGAAGGGGGTGAGCCGAGGCCCAGGGCCAGTCAGGCTGACCAGGTGGGACTTAGCCTGCTGCAGAAGGCAGAAGGTGCCCCAGCAGGGGGCACAGTACAGGGCGGGATTGGGACAGGAAGGACACCGCTCCCCAGGGGACCCAGCCCTCTCGCAGGCTGCTGGAGTGGACTGATCTGGCCATTTATGGAGGCCCAAGGGCTCATCTCCAGTTCTCTAGGAAGCCCTAGGCCTCCTCCTCTTCTGGGAAGATGCACCCCCAGCCTCCACACCAGGTTCTTGGCCACTGGAGAATGATATAGCTGGGGCCCTGGGACCTGGACACCTCACCGTGAAGAAAAGCAGCCTGCTGGGCACACTGGGGGTCAGATGTGTCCCTGGCCACAGGGGATGTCAGGGTCAGCTCTGCTATGGCCAGGGCAGCTATCTTGTCCCAGCTCCCCTGTTCCTCCCATTTGGGGTCCTGAAAAGGGCAATCGTGAACCTGATGGAAGAATGGTGGGGTTCTGGACACAGCGACCCTGGAACAGGGCGCGGGGGAGGACCCTTTCCAGGACCACTCCCATCACATAATGTAGAGGCCACCTATGCTTAGCCCGGCCCTAACCCCAAAGGGGTCAGCCCCACCGGAATCCAGCCTATTGGCTCAGCCTGTCACCACAAAGGCCAGCTTCAGCCCAGATAACTGTTCTGGAAACAGAAAGAGCAGGGACCGCTCAGAAAGGAGATCTCTGTCCCTGTTTGAAAGCCTGGAGTTGAGGGGACAGTGCCCCGCCCCCCGCCCCCCGCAACTTGGGTTGCAGCTGTGGCCTAGTGAGCACGCAGCGCCCCCTGGTGGTCGAGGGGGAATTGCGGGTCCCGGGAAAGGGGGCGGTGTGCCAGCAACAGGGAGCAGGCAGCTCTGCAGCCCTGAACCATCCCTCCCTTGGGTGACTCTTTTGGAAATCATTGTTCCCCAGACAGGAGGTTCCTGAGGTTCATACTTGGGTCTCCAAGTCTTGGGTGCTCTGAAGACAGGATTTTAAATCCCCACTCCTACTATTGGTATGTGTTGCATCAGGGTGGCTTGAGCTGGCCTGGTACACAGTGGGCACTCACGTTTGCTGCCTGTTTGAGACCAAGTGCCTCAGGAGGTCTTGGAGGGTTGGCTGGGGCCCCAAGTCCCTGACCTCTGATTCCAGAGGCCAAGTTTAGCTGGGGAAGAAAGGGCAGAGGCAGTTTCCCTATGGACAGCTAGGCCCGGGTGTAGGATTCAGTTTCTGTTTCCTGACACCAAGGCTTCTCCCCAACTTCCCCATTGGGCTAGAGAAGGAAGAACACAGGGTGACATGGCCAGCTGGAGGTTACTGGCCCACAGATAGGGAGTCAGGGTACGGATGGGCAATTCCTGGAGCAGATTATGGTCAAAATAGTGGAAATCCCCAATCACAGGCCAAATGTTTAATTCTCAGAGCCATAGAATCCATAACTAATGCTTATTGGCTTTGACATGGGCAGTAGAAATTTCACACTTCATTCCTTAATCTGGCTCTAAATGCTTCTGGCTGGAGTGCTCACTCTCCAAACTGTGCTGGACAGCACCAGAAGCCCTCCTGTGGACGGACGAAGTGGTGATGGATGAAGTGGAATTGTGCTGGGGTTAGAGTAAGGAGAGATTATCGTTGGGCTGGGCTGGGGCTGAGGTCAGGGTGATGATCAGGTTGGAATTCTGGAAGCAAATTAAGGCTGGGATTGGGGTGGACATTGAGGTTGAGTGATGGGTGGGGGTAAGGGTGAAGGTTGGAGTTGGGTGCAGGTGATGGTTAAGATACGGTGGAGGCTGGGTTGAGATGAGGATGATAGAGTCGGAGTTGTGGTTAGGGTTGGGATGATGGATGGTTGGGATTAGATGAGATGAGTAAATGGTTAGGGTTGGGGTGCAAGTGAGGTGAGGGTGAGATAAGGTTGGAATAGGGGCTGGGGCTGGGGCTGAGGTAGGGTCAGAGCAGGGTGATGGTCGGGACTGGGATTGGGATGCAGGTTGGAAGGATTTGGGGGTGGTGGAAGGGTTTCAGTTGAGTCCATCTTTGATTAGTGTCTTGGACTTGGGTTGGTTTGGGGTCCACCACTCGCACCCAGATGGAGCCCCCCCCCGACCCCTGCCCCTATCCCGCTCAGCCAGTTTCAGCCCAGCCCCGCTCCTAATGCTCCACTCACCCTCTGGGCCCAGGGACCAGGGACAGGGGTACCTGCTCCACAGAAGGAAGTGGCTGCGGCGGTGCTGGACCTGCGGAGAGGAGAACAGGAAGGACGGCCAAGAGCTCCTGGTGCAGCTGGCTCCCCAGGGCTCTGCCGGCTCAAGAGAGAAGGATCCCGTATCAGGGGCTGCTTCCTCTTTCCCAAAGCCTCAGCTCTACTGTCCAACCCAGAGGCTGGTCAGGGAGGCAGCTGCAGGCCTTGCGCAATGCCAAAACGGGAAAGACCTCCATAGGGGAAGGCCCTCGGCAAGGCCAGGGACTTAGGGACTCCAGCAAGCAGAAGTGGGACCGCTGCAACGCTGGAGCCTCCCCAGGCAAAGTGAGAAATGGAGTGGGGGACTCCCATTCACCAGCCAAATCCACACCCCACTCTCTCTGAGCCCCTTAGGGAGGCTGGGGGAGGTGGAAGGGGGCTTCCTGCACACAGCTCTCCTCCCTGACACCTGAGAGGGAGGCGCGCCCAGCCTGGGGTGGGGATGCACTACACGATGCCCAGACCAAGGCAGTTATTCTCCAAGCCATTCAGGAGCCTCCCTGTACCACTGAGTACTCTTAAGAACCCCCAAGAGGCAGTCCCGTGTTGTGGGGGACATAAGGCCCCAATGTCCAGGACACTCCTCAGGTTTTCTCTTTCCCCTCTCACTGTCCTGTACGTTTTTTGGTTTTTGGCTTCTTGTTGTTGGTTTTTTTCTTTTTGTTTTGTTTTTGCTTTTGAGATGGAGTCTCACTCTGTCGTCCAGGCTGGAGTGCGGTGGCACAATCTCAGCTCACGGCAACCTCCACCTCCCGAGTTCAAGTGATCATCTTGCCTCAGCCTCTCGAGTAGCTGGGATTACAGGCATGCACCACCACATCCGGCTAATTTTTGTATTTTTGGTAGAGACGGGGTTTCACCATGTTGTCCAGGTTGGTCTTGAACTCCTGACCCCAAGTAATCTGCCTGCCTCGGCCTCCCAAAGTTCTGGGATTACAGAGGTGAGCCGCTGCACCCGGCCACTATCCTATACCTTCACCCCCACCTTGGGACAGGAAAGGAAAGCCCCCACCACAGCTAGTTACTGTTACATTACTGCAGCCCATCTTATTGAGGGCCTAGTTTGTGCAGGCACTTGACATGTGAAGCAGATGTTAATTGCTCCAAGCAATCCCAGATACAAGCAACAAGACTTTTTTTGGTTTTTGTTTGTTTGTTTGTTTTTGTTTTTTGAGACAGTGTCTTGCTCTGTCGCCCAGGCTGGGGTGTCCTGGTGCAATCTTGGCTCACTTTGGCTCACTGCAGCTTCGAAATTCTAGGCTTAAGCAATCCTCCTGCTTCAGCCTCCTAAGAAGCCGGGATTACAGGCGCTTGCCACTATGCACGGCTAATTTTTTAAGTTATTTTGTAGAGACGGAGTCTCCCTATGTTCCCAGGCTGGTCTCAAACACCTGGGCTCAAGTGACTCTCCCACCTCGACCTCCCAAAGTGCTGGAACTACAGGCGTAAGCCACCACTCCTGGCCATTTTTTTTTTTAATTTCACAACTCAAACTTAATTCAACTCAGTCCCTGCCTACCTGTACTGGTGGGGAGCTGGCCACAGCAAATTAGGCCCCTGTACCCTGAGGGCAAGGCCACGTGTGCAGGTGTAAAAGGATGTGAAACCCTAAATCAGGGTGGATCCAGAATCGCAGGCCATGGTGCCCCAAAGCAGATGTCTGGTGACATTCCACCCTGAAATGCTCAGGCTACAGAGATATTAGGTCTCTATCACTCTGTTCCTCTTTATAGCTCCTGTGTCCACTCCTATGCTTGGGCCATTTCCTCTTTCGGCCAAAACACAAAGGGTTCATCCCATTACTTCCTCCCTCAACAGCTGGTCCGGAGACACCCAGCTCTAGGCCTGTGGGGTTGTGACACATGGGTACCAATCCTTCAGTCCACTGGGACTCTATACATCCACCCCTTGGCTTCATGGTGGGAAAGCATCCCTTGACTTTGACCTTAGTCATATGACTTGCTCTGGCCAATGGATGTGCACGGACATGACACAAACTAAGTCTTGAAACGTACTTAAGCAGTTTGCCTTTCCCCCTGAATTTCTGTCATTGCCATGCAAGGGGCAGGCTCCAACTAACCTGCTGGTCCAAAGAGGATGACGAACACATGCAGATGACCTGAATCAGACCCATGGATTGAAACAAAACTCAGCTGAGCCCAGCCTACGTCCACCAGACCAGTCAACCTGTGGATGCGTGAATTTATTGCTGGATGCTGCTGAGAATTTTGTGGCTACATTAGCAAGATGATACAAGGCCTAAGTCCCAGAACAACACACCCAGAACTTGCTTACCTTTCCTTAGCATGAGGAGAGCAAAGACTTGTCTACCTTGATTAGTCAGGGAGCACTGCTTCCTGTCATTTCCTTGAGTATACAGCAAACTAGGTAAATAAATAAAAATAACTAGGTAGGCTGGGCACGGTGGCTCACGCCTGTAATCTCAGCACTTTAGGAGGCCGAGGTGGGCAGATCGCTTGAGGCCAGGAGTTCAAGACCAGCCTGGTCAACGTGGCGAAACCCTGTCTCTACGAAAAATACAAAAATTAGCTGGGCCTGGTGGCAGGCGCCTGTAGTCTCAGCTACTCAGGAGGCTGAGGCACGAGAATCGATTGAACCCGGGAGGTGGAGATTGCAGTGAGCCGAGATCACACTACTGCACTCCAGCCTGGATGACAGAGCGAGACTCTGCCTCAAAATATTTTAAAAAATGTAATTTCTCAGTAGGTCACACTGTTACACATTCATCTAATAACAATTATTCTTTTTCTTTTTTTTTTTTTTTTTTGGAGATAGGGTCTCACTGTCACCCAGGCTGGACAGGCTGGAGTGCAATGGCACAATCTCGGCTCACTGCAACTTTGACCTCCTAGGCTCAAGTGATCCTCCTGCCTCAGCCTCCCAAGTTGCTGGGACTACAGGTGAGTACCACCAGACGCAGCCAATTTTTGTATTTTTTTGTAGAGATGGGGCTTCACCATGTTGCCCAGGCTGGTCTCACACTCCTGAGAGTTCCCAGTCAAGTGATCCACCCACCTTGGCCTCCCAAAGTGCTGGGATTACAGGTATGAGCCACCATACCCAGTGAATTATTCTCGTTCCAGATAGGAAAACCAAGTCATAGGGAGGTTAGAGAATTTGCCAAAGACAAAACTTTTTGGTTGAAAAAAAATAAGTTTTGCTACAAGTATAGAAAACACCAAATAACGGTGTTTTAAATAAAATAGAAGTGTTTCACCCTCTCCCTCAAGTAAGTGTTGGCATCCAAGATGATATGACAACTCCACAATCATGAAACTAGATCCCTTTTTATTTTTTGGCTCAGTCATTGTCAATGGGCTGCTTCCAGTCATTGTCCAAAGTGGCTGCTTGCGCTCCAGCCACTGTATCTGCATTCGGGAAAGCAGGATGGAGGAAAGGACAAAGTAGGCCATGCCCTCTACTTTAAGATAACTCCTTAAATTGCTGATGTGGTGGGTCACTCCTGCAATACCAGCCACTCAGGAGGCTGAAGCAGGAGGTTCACTTGAACCCAGGAGCTTGAGGCTGCAGTGAACTATAATTGTGTCACTGCATTCCAGCCTGAGTGACAGAGTGAGATCTTGTCTCTTAACAACAACAAAAAAGGTAATTCTTTAAATTGTACACTTTATTGCTGCTTATATTCCACTAGAAGCTAGAAGTTAGTCACATGGTCTTAAGTCTTTATTCTAACAGGTGATGTGCCCGAGTGAATCCTGGGGGCCCAGTGCTAAGAAGTAGAGGGAGATGAAGCCCTGCCCTCCTGTGGAGCAACCAGGACCTTAATTCAGTCATTCATTCCTTGGACCTACCCAGATTCCAGCCTCAGGCCCCTGCCCACCTCCTTGCCAGTATCTCTGCAGAGCCTCCTGCCTCCCCCAGAGGGTGCCAGAGCCCTCTGCTTCCTCAGCCTTCAGACCCACTTGCTGTGTCTCAGGTGGGGACAACTCAGTCTATAGAGGCCCAAGGGAGATCTTTGAGACCCATACTGTAGTCAGCTTGGGGCAGATGGGAGTCATGTAGCTCACTGGCTAAAAGCCTAGGTCCTGCATAGAGCTGGGTTCAAATCCAGGCATATCCATCACCTGCTCTACGATCCCAGGAGTCACTCAATGACTCAGAAGCTAGAGTCCTCTGGAAAGCTTGTATGAAGAGTTCCCAGGGCCTGGAACATCAAAAGAGCTCTGAGAATGTTGGCTCTGCTGTTGCTTCTCTTATTGGGTATCTGAAGGCCGTACTCTCCTCTCTCCTCCACCCGAGGTGACCTCTACTCTCATAGCCACACCCTGGACCCTCACTCATTCAGTCACCTCACCCAGTCTGTCATCTGTCCCTCTGGCTCTCCTCTCCTGTTCATGCATCTTGTACTCACCCACTTCTGTCCCTGAGTGTTTCAAGGCTCTGGGGTTTTCAGAGACACTGAAGGGACCTCCCTCCTCAACACAACCACAAGGTCTAGGTGGAATGACCCACTAAGGGACCGGCTCTGAAGCCAGAGACTTCCAGGGAAAGTCAACAAGCCCAAGGATGCCCGTTACAAGAAAGTTAAAAGACCCATGTACATGTCCTCCCGTTTTATTCCCTGCTCAGGGTCTGGGCATACAGTGGAACACATGCAGTCCCCAAAGGACACCGTCTGTACAGAGTCAGATGGAGTTAAGAACATTTAGCCGGCTGGGCGCGGTGGCTCACGCCTGTAGTCCCAGCTACTCGGGAGGCTGAGGCAGGAGAATGGCGTGAACCCGGGAGGCGGAGCTTGCAGTGAGCCGAGATCGCGCCGCTGCACTCCAGCCTGGGCCACAGAGACAGACTCTGTCTCAAAAAAAAAAAAAAAGAATATTTAGTCTGGGCACGGAAGCTTATGCCTGTAATCCCAGCACTTTGGGAGGCTGAGGTGGGCGGATAACCTGAGGTCAGAAGTTTGAGACCAGCCTGGCCAACATGGTGAAACCCCATCTCTACTAAAAATACAAAAATTAGCCAGGCATCTGTAATCCCAGCTACTCAGGAGGCTGAGGCAGGAAAATCACTTGAACCCAGGAGGTGGCGGTCACAGTGAGCCAAGATTGTGCCAGTGCACTCCAGCCTGGGTGACAGAGCAAGACTCCATCTAAACACACACACGCACACGCACACATATTTAAACCACCACACCAACATCTAGTTCAAGATGGTGGACTGAGAACTTGTCTCTGCCATTCCTGGCCCATCCAATACCACTGAGAGCACAGTAAGCAAAGGGAAAAGGAGACAGAAGGGCTGGGAACAGGATGGCTGGGGGATGGGAAGTATCCACTGCACAGGATTTTGATTTAATTCTAGAAGATAGAAAGAGGGAGGATCACGTTCAGGAACAGATGCGGGTAAAGGAAACCAGAGCCAAAGCACGCTGAGAGAAAGCTGCCCCAGAGGCCGGAGCAGAAGTGGACTCTCTACAGGGACTCAATACACCCCAAAGGGTTGGTAGCTGGCACACGTACCTCTCCACCCCCACATGTAACACTGCAGGGCAGAGGAAATACCCTAGGTGAGTTCCAGTATCAATCAACCTGCCCTTTGTTCATAAAGATGAATTGGTTACCAGGTATTACCAGACAGGTGAGGAAGACCAACACAAAGAGAAAGATCCAGAAACAAACAGGCCAGGCGCATTGGCTCACGCCTGTAATCCCAGCACTCTGGGAGGCCAAGATGGGTGGATCACCTGAGGTCAGGAGTTCAAGACCAGCCTTGCCAACATGGTGAAACCCTGTCTCTACTAAAAATACAAAAATTAGCTGGGTGTGGTGGGGTTCTCCTGCCTCAGCCTCCCGAGTAGCTGGGAGGCTGAAGTAGGAGGTTCACTTGAACCCAGGAGCTCGAGGCTGCATTGAACTATGATTATGTCACTACATTCCAGCCTGAGTGACAGAGTGAGATCTTGTCTCTTAACAACAACAAAAAAGGTAATTCTTTAAATTGCACACTACATTGCTGCTTATATTCCACTGGCTAGAGGTTAGTCACATGGTCTCATGTCTTTATTCTAACAGGTGATGTGCCCGAGTAAATCCTGGGGCCCCAGTGCTAAGAAGTAGGGGGAGATGAAGCCCTGCCCTCCTGCTTGAACCCTAGAGGTAGAGGTTGCAGAGAGCGGAGATCATGCCACTGCACTCCAGCCTGGGTGACAGAGTGAGACTCCATCTCAAAAAATAAAAAATAAATAAATAAATAAATAAATAAATAAATAAAAACCTACAGCAAAGAACAAAGAGCTATTGCACCGTTACTGTGGGCCTGGCAGTATTATGACAACTTTTTTTTTTTTTTTTTTTTTTGGAGATGGAGTATTTTTCTGTCACCCAGGCTGGAGTGCAGTGGCTCAATCTCAGCTCACTGCAACCTCTGCCTCCTGGGTTCAAGCGATTCTCCTGCTTCAGACTCCCGAGTACCTGGTATTATAGGCACATCCCACCACACCCGGCTAATTTTTGTATTTTTAGTAGAGACCGGGTTACAACATGGTTTCACCATGTTGGCCAGTCTAGTATCAAACTCCTGACCTCAGGTGATCCACCCGCCTCAGCCTCCCAAAGTGCCAGGATTACAGGCATGAGCCACCACACCCATCCAGTGTTCTGACAATTTTATACTTATTAACTCATTTAGCAACCCTCTGAGCTAGATGCTATTGTTATCTCCACTTACAGGAAACTGAGTCACAGAATGGTACAGTAAAATAACCTTGACCGAGGTTTACATGGCTGGTAAGTGGCAGAGAAATGAAACTTGAACCCAGGCAACCTGTTTCCTGAGTTGGACTCTGAACTACTCAGCCATACTGCCTATTTATTTATTTATTTATTTACTTACTTACTTATTTATTGAGATGGGGTCAGCCGGGCATGGTGGCTTACGCCTGTAATCCCACCACTTTGGGAGGCTGAGGGGAACAGATCACTTGAGGCCAGCAGTTCGAGACCAGCCTGGACAACAAGGAGACAGGGTCTCGCTCTGTCACCCAGGCTGGAGTGCAATGGTGCAATCATGGTTCACTGCAGCTTCGACCTCCCAGGCTCAAGCGATCCTCCCACCTCAGCCTCCCAAGTAGCTGGGACCATAGGCACCCACTATCATGTCCAGCTAATCGAAAAAAAAAAATTATATAGAGATGGGGGTCTCACTATATTGCCTAGACTGGTCTCTAACTCCTGGGCTTAAGCAATCCACCCACCTTGCCCTCCCAAAGTACTAGAATTACAGGTGTGAGCCACCGTGCCTGACCAATACTTCCTCTTTAATAAACTAAACAAAAAGTGAACAAACCAATCCCGGAGGGAACAGATAATTCAAGGAATACAAGAAAACTTATGAAAAGAAAGATTCTAGTGCCAATATGTTCATAAAACAAAAAAAAAGCAGCTATGAAAAGAAAGCAAAAAATAATTCTTGGAAATTTAAAATAGAATTGCTGAAATAAAAAGAAATTCAATAGAAAAGGGTGTGAACATCTGTGGTTTTGGTTTCCAAAATTAGTTCACTCTTCTTTGGGTAAAAATACCCTGATTTTCCTGCTGTATTCTCAAGCCCTGTGGGTTGGTGGAATTGACACCTCTTCCATTTACTGCACGAGAGAAGCATGTTGCTGCTCACAGTTCATTATGAGGAGCCAGCAGGTAAAGACAACACTGAGGGCAGATGAAAGATATATACTGACCCTGGGTCCTTGTGGACATCATTGAGTCCCTGGATCAAGCCTTACCTGAAGCTAAAGGGATGAGTGCTTCTCACTGTTAATAGCCACTGATCAAATTCCATAGAAGGACTCCAATTATCCTTGCCTCAGTTGTGTGTCCAGCCCTCGGATGAGCTACCATCAAGGGAAACTGCCAGACCTTGGTGACAAGCCCACCCACTGAAAATGGGGAAAAAACCCAAGTCACATCATTGAACTGAAAGAGCTGCAGTTCCCCGAAAGACAGGAGAGAAGGAATGCTGGATAAACACAACAACTACTTCATCTCACTGCACCTGCAAAGAATCCAGGCACAGGAAGGTGGGCACAGCAAGTAGTCTTTCTGGTTGACATAACAAAGACAACATCTGTTTCTTCTCTCAGAAAGAAGTAAGAAAGGCAATTGGAGAACCAGAAACGACAAAATCTATTCCAGGACCAAATAGAAAGAAAACACATCTGAAGCATGATTTTGAACAATTAGTGGGGTGTAAGAAAAGAGAATCCATTTGACCTTGACATCTGAAACAGCAAATATTCTCCATCAAGGCACTTTAGGGTAGAGGAAATGATACTATGTTTCCTTCTCAAAGGAGCTATCTGGTTACGTGGTTCTGCAGTAAATGACGTTTATACAATCATAACATCCGTTGGTTTTCAATTTTCAGAATCAACCTGAAGATAAAGCATGGAAGATTTCATTATAATTACCGAACAGCATGCAAATGTTACAAACTTTGACCATGAAAATGTAAAAAAGAGCCCAGGCGCAGTGGCTCACGCCTGTAATCCTAGCACTTTCGGAGGCCGAGGCGGGTGGATCACAAGGTCAGGAGTTTGAGACCAGCTTGGCCAACATAGTGAAACCCCATCTCTACTAAAAATACAAACATTAGCTAGGCATGGTGGCACGCACCTGTAGTCCCAGCTACATGGGAGGCTGAGGCAGGAGAATCACTTGAACCCAGGAGGCGGAGTTTGTGGTGAGCCAAGATCACGCCGCGGCACTACAGCCTGGTCAACAGAGCAAGACTCCATCTCAAAAAAAAGAAAAGAAAAGAAAAGAAAAGTAGACAGCAGAAATTAGAGGGAGATGGCAGGTGACCTGGGGCTGGGGGAGGCACAATTTTTCTTACATAGTGATAGGGCTCAAGAAATTCTTTCTAAAATTGATGTATGAGGAACGAAATTTTAAATATAGATTGTTTAGAACTATAAGTAGCACCAACACAGGACTCCAGTAATCACACAGCAAACAAAACTGAGAAAACAGACATGGGCGGGGAGATGGGAATGGGTGATTTCCATTCCCTGCTTTAATGATGAGGTGTCAGTAGATGCTCTCTTGAGTTACTAAATTGAGAAACAAAGATAAAGTATATTGTTTAGAGGAGTGATGTTCAAACTCCAGAAAAGGCTGGGCGCGGTGGCTCATACCTGTAATCCTGGCACTTTGGGAGGCCGAGGTGGGCAGATCACTTAAGCCCAGGAGTTTGAGACCAGCCTAGGCAACATGATGAAGCCCTATCTCTACTAAAAAAAAAAAAAATACAAAAAATTAGCAAAGCATGGTGGTGCACACCTGTAGTCCCAGTTATTCAGGATCTCACTACTGTACTCCAGCCTGGGTAATGAGAGTGAGACCCTCTCTCAAAAAAAAAAAAAAAAAAAGAAGAAGAAGAAGAAAACTCCAGAATATATAAAAATGAAAAGAGGGCGGAAGAGTGGAACTGCGGGGTAGAAAATTTTGCATTTTGTTTCATCTCTCTGTATATGTTGAACTTTTTTTTTAACCTACATGTACTACGTCATATCCACAGCCCCCAACCATCCACCAGGCATCAACTGCTGTGTTTATATGGAGGGTTGAGCAATCATTCCTGCCTCCTTCCAGTTCGTCTTCCTGTACTGCAGAGGCTAGAAAACTAAATTTATATCACCCAGATTCCCTTCCAGCTACCTTAATGCTACCACCTCATTCAGCCATCATTGATTCTCCACTTCACCAAACTGGTCAATAATTGTCTCTTCTAAAAATATTAGAATTGGGACTAAGAGACACTACAGCTGACCCTTAAACAACATGGGTTTGAACTGTGCTAGTCTGCTTATACACAGATTTTTAAAAAAATAAACATATTGAAAAAAATTTTGGAGAGATGTGACAATTTGAAAAAACTCACAAACCACATAGCTAGAAATATCAAAAAAAAAAAAACTGAAACAGAGTTAGGTAGGTCAGGAATGCATAAATATATATGTTAATTGGCTGTTTATATTATTAGTAGGGCTTCCAGTCAACAGAAGGCTATTAGTAATTAAGTATTTGAGTCAAAAGTTATACACAGATTTTTGATGATGAGGAGGATTAGTGCCCCCAACCCCCATGTTGTTCAAGGGTTAGCTATATTTGAAATCTGCTGGTAGCTGGAATTGGGCAACTAAATTCACGAGATGTGGAACGGTCGTATACATGGAGAATAAATAAATAAATAAATAAATAAATAAGTATTTGTTGGCCTGGTGCAGTGGCTCATACCTGTAATCCCAACACTTTGGGAGGCCAAGGCAGGCAGATGACTTGAGGTCAGGAGTTCGAGACCAGCCTGGCCAACATGGTGAAATACCGTCTCTACTAAAAATACAAAAATCAGCTGGGCGTGGTGGTGTGCACCTGTAATCCCAGCTGCTTGGGAGGCTGAGGGATGAGAATTGCTTGAACCTGGGAGTCAGAGGTTGCAGTGAGCCGAGATTGCACCACTGCACTCCAGCCTGGGCGAAAGAGTGGGACTCTGTCTCAACAACAACAACAAAAAAGCAATTGTTAAAAGAATAAGAAAACAAGCCACAGATTGGGAGAATATATTTGCAAAACAAATATCTGATGACCCAAAATACACAAAGAACTCTTAAAACCCAACACTAAGAAATCAAACAACCCCATTAAAAAATGGACAAACGGGCCAGGCATGGTGGCGGTGGCTCACATCTGTAATGCCAGCACTTTGGGAGGCCGAGCAGGGCAGATCACCTTAGGTCAGGAGTTCTCAACTAGCCTGGCCAACATAGTGAAACCGTCTCTACTGAAAATACAAAAATTAGCCGACCGTGGTGACGTGCATCTGTGGTCCCAGCTACTTGGGTGTCTGCGGCAGGAAAATAGCTTGAACCAGGGAGGTTGCAATGAGCTAAGATCGCGCCACTGCACTCCAGCCTGGGCAACACAGTGAGACTCCGTCTCAAAAAAAAAAAATGGGCAAAAGATGTGAACAGACACCTCATCAAAGAAGATATACAGATGGAAGATAAGCATATGAAAATATGCTTAACCTGATGTCATTAAGGAATTACAAATTGAAGCAACAAGGTACCACTAAACCCCTATTAAAATGGTCAAAATCCAGAATGCTAAAAACACCAAATGCTGGTGAGGATGTGGAGTGACAGGACTCTCATTCGTTGCTGGTGGAAATGTAAAATGGTATGGCCATTTTTAAGACAGTTTGGCAGTTTCTTACAAAACTAAACATAGTCTTACCATACAATCTAACAATTACACTCCTAGATAGTTACCCAATTGAGGTGAAAACTTATATCCAGGGCCGAGCACAGTGGCTCACACCTGTAATCCCATCACTTTGGGAGGCCAAAGAGGAAGGATTGCTTGAGGCCAGGAGTTCTTTCTTTTTATTTATTTATTTATTTATTTTCTTTTGAGACAGAGTTTCGCTCTGTCACCCAGGCTGGAGTGCAGTGGAGTGATCTCATCTCACTGCAATCTCTGCCTCCCGGCTTCAAGCGATTCTCCTGTCTCGGCCTCTGAGTAGCTGCTGGGATTACAGGTGCACGCCACCATGCCCAGCTAATTTTTATATTTTTAGTAGAGACAGGGTTTCACCATGTCAGCTAGACTGGTCTTGAACTCCTGACCTCAAGTGACCTGCCTGCCTCGGTCTCCCAAAGTGCTGGGATTACAGGTGTGAGCTACTGTGCTCAGCCAAGGCCAGGAGTTCCAGACCAGTCCTGGCAACACAGTGATACTCTGTCTCTACAAAAAAAAATTTTTTTAATTAGTCACATGTGGTGGCACACACTTGTAGTGTCAGCTACTGGGGAGGCTGAGGCTGAGGATCACTTGAGCCCCAGGAGTTTGAGGTTGCAGTGAGCCACGATTATGCCTCTGCACTCCAGCGTGGGCAACAGAGTAAGAGAAAGAAAGAGAGAGAGAGAGAGAGAGAGAGGAAGGAAGGAAGGAAGGAGAAAAGAAACGAAAAGAAAAGAAGGAAGGAAGGGAAGGAAGGGAGGGAAGGAAGGGAGGAAGGAAGGAAGAAAGAAAGAAAGGAAAGAAATAAAAAAGGAAAAGAAAAGAGAGAGAGAAACCTTATATCCATACAAAACCCTGCGCAAGAATGTTTATAGCTGCTTTATTCATAATTGCCAAAAACTGGAAGCAACTAAGAAGCTCTCCAATGGGTGAAAGGATAAACAAACTGTGGTATATCTGTGCAATGGAGTATCATTAAGTAATAAAAAGAAGACTTAGCAAACCACAAAAAGTAATATGCATACTAAATATGCATTTAGTAATATTAATATGCATTAAGCAATAAAAAAAGACGTGTCAAGCCACAAAAAGTAATATCCATATTACTAAATGAAAGAAGCCAGTCTGAAAAGGCTACGTGCTGTGTGATTTCAACTATTTGACTTTCTGGAAAAGGCAAAACTACAGACAGTAAAAAGATCAAGGGTTGCCGGGGGTTCTGGGGACAGGAAAGGATGAATAGGTGGAGCACGGGAATTTTAGGTCAGTGATATTATTCTATATGATACTATAATGGTGGATCCATGATATGCTTTTGTCAAAACCCATAGAAAGTACAACACAAAGAGTGATTCTTAATGTAAACTATGTGCTTTAGTCAACAATGTATTGATATTAGTTCATTAATTTTAACAATGTACCACACTAATCCAAGATGTTAATAATGGGGAAACTGCGTGTGAGGGAGGGGATACATGGGAACTCTGTACTACAGCTCAATAATTTTATAAATCTAAAACTTTTTTTTTAAATAAAGTCTCTTAGAAAACAATAAAAATAAAATAAAAAGTCAATTTTTTTTTTTTTTTTGAGAGGGAATCTTGCTCTGTCACCCAGGCTGGAGTGCAGTGGCACAATCTCTGCTCACTGCAACCTCTGCCTCCTTAGTTCAAGCGATTCTCCTGCCTCTACCTCCCAGGTTCAATCAATTCTCCCACCTCAGCCTCCCAAGTAGCTGGGACTACAGGCATGCGCCACCACGCCTGGCTAATGTTTGTATTTTTAGTAGAGATGGGGTTTCGCCATGTTGGCCAGGCTGGTCAAGAACTCCTGACCTCAGGTGATCCGCCCGCCTCAGCCTTTCAAAGTGCTGGGATTACAGGGTTGAACCACATGCCTGGTCTAAAATGTCCATTTTTAAAAGGCAGTCTGGCTGGGGCAGTGGCTCACGCCTGTAATCCCAGCACCATGGGAGAAGGCTGAGCAGGGTGTATCTCTTGAGCCCAGGAGTTCGAGGCTGTAGTGTGCTATGATGGTGCCACTGCACTCCAGCCTGGGTGACAGAGTGAGACTCTGTCTCTAAAATAAATAAATAAAAATACAATAAAATTTTAAAAGGCAATCTGCAGCAAGAGAAGATGAAGTTAGCAGGAGAGCAGGACAGAGGAGAGTCCATGAACAACAGGGAGAGGAAAGTGGTCATGGTGGCAGCTCCCAGGCTCCTGGCATATGTTCAATTCCCTGTTCCCAGCCCTCAGGAAGCCCAGATGTCCCCACCTGCCCCTACATACAAACCCTGGATCCTTGACATCAACTTCTCCTTTCCTTCATGTGCTCTAATGAGTTTTTGTTACTTGTGGAACATTTAACTAACATCATTAACCAAGTGGACCTGTCTCAGAGTGGTGTTATGAGAAGACAGCAGCCAAAAGACAGCTGCAGCCAAGCACAGTGGCTCATGCCTGTAATCCTAGCATTTTGGGAGGCCGAGGTGGGTGGATCACCTGAGGTCAGGAGTTCGAGACCAGCATGGCCAACATGGCGAAACCCCCTCTCCACTAAAAATATAAAAATTAGCCGGGTGTGGTGGCGAGCGCCTATAATCCCAGCTACTTGGGAGGTTGAGGCAGGAGAATTGCTTGAACCCAGGGGGCAGAGGTGGCAGTGAGCCGGGATCATGCCACTTCACTCCAGCCTGGGTGAAAGAGCAAAACTCTGTCTCAAAAAAAAAAAAAAAAAAAGACAGCTGCAACAAATGTCAAGTTCTGTGTGTTTTCTTTTCTTTTCTTTTTTTTCTATTTAATTAATTTATTTTAGAGTCAGAGCCTCCCTATGTCACCCAGGCTGGAGTGCAGTGGCACAGTCACAGCTCACTGTAGCCTCAACCTCCTGGGCTCAGGCGATCCTTCCACCTCAGCCTCCTTCCTAGCTGGGACTACAGGTGTGTGCCACGACATCTGGCTTGTGTGTTTTCTTTTCTTTTTTTTTGAGACGGAGTCTTGCTCTGCCACCCAGGCTGGAGTGCAGTGGCGCGATCTTGGCTCACTGCAACCTCTGCCTCCTGGGCTCAAGCAATTCTCCTGCCTCCGCCTCCTGAGTAGCTGGGAATACAGGCGCACACCACCATGCCCAGCTAATTTTTGTATTTTTAGTAGAGACGGGGTTTCACCATGTTGGCCAGGATGGTCTCGATCTCCTGACCTTGTGATCCACCTGACTCGGCATCCCAAAGTGCTGGGATTACAGGCGTGAGCCACTGCACCCTGCCTGGCTTGCATGTTTTCTGACATACTGTCAAAAGGATACTCATACTAAATGGCAACACATTCTCAAGCCCCTTCCTTTTCTTCTCCTATCTGCTTTACCACACACCATAGCTGCTTTTACCGTTTTCTCCTTAAAAACTCAAAAAAACCTTCCCCCAACCTATCTATCCACTTCTTGTCCTCCCCTCAAACCCACTCCATTTTGATTCTGCATCATAAAAACCAAGCAGAGTTCTGGGGAGGCAGAAGCCTCCTCTTATGATATTGGAAGGGGGTGGATGAAATTGAGCACACAAAGCCAGAATCCTCTTTTGTGGAAAGATGGGGGCAGTGGGCAGAGGGAAGCAGGCTCATCTCTTTCCCTCTCTTCCCTTCCCTTCTCTTTCACACCACACGCTCCGCCTGGGTGAGCTCATCGTCCTCGTGTCTTCAATTTCCACCTCCAGGAGATCGACTGCCAAATTTCTACCCGCAATCCCAAACTCCACTCTGAGCTCCAGACCCATCTACTAATTGCCTAGTCAACATTTTCTCTGTGGGATCGAATCAGATAGGATTATATTCTGCTGTGACTAACAGAGACTGAAAATTCAGAGTCCTAAACAAAAGACTTTCTTTTTCTTGTGCTGAAAAGTCTGGAAGTACACAGCCCTAGGCTGGAATAGGGATACTGCTGGGGGGCTCCGCCTCCTTGCAGGCTGCCCCTCTGCTATCTCCAGGGTGTGTCCCTCAACCACACTGTCCAAAGTGGTGACTGAAGGACCAGTCCTCCCACTGACATTCCAGGCAACAGAATGGAGAAGAACAGGCTGAGGAAGGAGGAACCACAGGCGCCCTCCAGCTGTTTCAAGGAAGGTTCCTGGAAGATGCTAAATAACAATTCCGTTTATATCTCATTAGCCAGGCTTAGTCACGTGGCAACACCTAGAAGCAAGAAAGGCTGGGAAATATACTGTTTCTGCTGGGTTACCGTATGCATGACTAAAAAGAGAGCGCTCTGTTCTTAGGAAAATGAGAATAGACTGGGTTGGGGGAGGATAACCAGCATTGGCTACACTGCAGCCCCACAACCTCCTCATGCTTGATGTGGCTGAAATAAAAAGAGCATCTCCCCCTAACATTTCCTTTCCCTTAGTCTTGTTCCTTTTCTGTACCCCATACCCTAGCAGAGGGGCAATTCTGTGGGGTGGGCTCACTGGCAAGGGGAGGTCTCACCCAAGCTCAGTCAAGGGTGAGCAGAGAGAATTGTACAAGGAAGCTGAATTTCCAGCTGGTCTGGAGGAAACACTGAAAACCCCAAACAGAAGATGTCCAGGTGGAGCAAATGCAGCTGAGAGTTCTTGTCCAAGGGGACAGAATGTCAGCAGAGTAGGACACAAGGGCAGGTCTCTACTGAAAGCACCAGGGGCAAAGTCACCCAGCCCTTCAACCGGCTGGCCACCAAGCACATCGGCTCCACTCTGCCTCCTGCCCGTGCCACCCTTTGCACTTTTGTCTGTACCATCTCCTCCACCAGGAGTGCCCTTCCCGCTCCTCCATGTGGTATACTCTCAGCCACCCCTCAGGCTCAGATCCAGAGCCACCTCCTCCAAGAAGTCTCCACCTGTCTGCTGGGAACCCTCACATCACACTGGGAGACGAAGCCAAAAGTGGGGGGGTCAGTACAGAGGTGTGGGAGGTAGGTCCAATCCTGGCTGGACCTGGCTTTGGGTGCCATTTGGGACAGGGTATTGGGGAGGTTCAGCAGGAAGGTGGGACCTCAAGGCTTTCTTTTTATGAAGGAGGAGGAACCAGCTGTTGACAGAGCAGCAACAGCAGGGAGCCACCAAGGCTGAGCCTTGAACCCTGGGCCACCAGGCTCCTGCAGGCAACTGGGAGCAGCTCAGCCTCTCACAGTCCCATTTCCAGGGAGGAAGATGATGCAGCCTGAGGCAATTGGCCACCTGGAGGAAGTTCAGCTGGGTGGGGCAGGCAGAGGAATTCCTGGAAGGAAGCTCACCCCTCAGCACTGGGGTAGAGGGACACTAGAGACAGGGGTGGCCCAGGAGCTGCCCACCTCCTATCCCCATGAATAAGCAGGTGGGCCCGGGTGACCAGCTGGGAGCCACCCCTGGGTGCTCAGGTACCATGCTTCTGGCCCAGCCTCCTGAGCTGTGGCACAGGCAAGAGCACCGGCCCACGGGGTCTGCATGGGGCAGTGACCTGTTCTCTCTAAGCTTCAGCTTTCTCATCTGTAGAAAGAGGGTGAAGAGTCCTTCCCCACCATGGTTGTGGTGAGGGTAACTGAAGTGTCAGGGTAGGGGACCCAGTGGGGCACCAGCACACCTGAGGTTCAGTCAACAAGGCCCACTGGTGAAGAAAACCTCGCCCACCCTCCCGTCCCTCCTGAGGCAGGTGGTGGAGGCACATGCCCTCTCCATTGTGTGTGCATGAGTGTGTGGGTGCATGCATGTGTGTGCATGCAAGTGTGTGTGCATGTGTGTGCATGCATGTGTGTGCGAATGTGTGTGTGTGCGCACATGCATGTGTGCTAAGCTCTGGAGAACAAGCAGCCAGGCTTGGGCAGGAGTCCGGGGGCAAGGGGGGGACATGCAAAGTTCTCTCCACAGCCCCTCAGTGCTAACAGGCTGAGGTGGGGGATGACATGTCTTAGAAACAAACTTCACCCTCTGCCCTAAAACTGCCTGCTGGTCTGCCACATCGGGCCAAGCTGTGGGTACTTGGAAAGAGGGCCCTGCTCCTGCCTTCCAAACCCAGGAAGTCTTGAAATCCCCATGGAGGGGACCTGGGGCCAGGGGACTCCCCAAGCAGACACAGCACCCACACAAGGGTCTAAGGGACCCCTTTCTCCCCAACCGCCTGAGGTAGGGATGGATGTGGACAAGCAGCTCAGGGCTGGGGCTGGCCTAGGTGGAAGGTTCAGAAGCACAGAAGGCAGGACGTGCCCAAGGGGCTGGACATGGGGTTGGAGGCTAGGGGCTGGAAAAAGAGTTTGGGAGGTCAGCCAAGGGCAGTCCACGCCTTGGCTCTTCTCTGGGTCATGGGGAGCCACGGAGAGTATAGGAGTGGTGATGGGATGGCCCCAGAGTTGTGCCTTTGAAAGTCACCTCTGGTTGCAGATAGAGATGGACTGGGGGCAGGGCTGAGAGGAAGGGCATCTCATGAGAGGGGAAATCCCTGACCACAGTCCAGAGGAAAACAGCGGGCCTGGGGAGAGGCTGCTCCTGGGGAGGACCTACTCAGAGGCTGATTCTTCCTCGTGCTACCCCACCCAGGGAGATGCAGGAAGCTGGTGAGGTCAGTGGGTGGGCCCACAACCATGCTGGAGAGGAGCAGGAGGGAGACGGGAGGGCACAGAGAGGTAGAGGGCAGGGACTCTGAGGACCCTCATCCATGCCCACCTGGACAATTGAATCGAGCTTCCTCTAGTGTGGAATGTGGGCTCACTGGGGCTATTTGCTATCCTTCTCTCATGTCAGACTGGATGCGGCCCAAGGGTGGGGTCTGTGACTCCCTCATCAGACTGAGGGGGGCCGAAATGTGGGGGTGGGGGAAGGAGGGAGCTTCCAAACAGGAAGGTTTGGAGGGCGCTGGCACTGAGGACAGGGGATACGCCCCCCATGAGTCTTCACCCCTGCTCAGAGCCTGCTGCCGTGGCCCTCAGAGACGAGCCCATCTTTGGAGCTGGAGTTGGGGACAGGGAAACCAGGTGGAAGGGAAAAAGAAAAAAGGGGCAGGCATGAGTGTGAGGGGCCAGACCCTGCAGACCCCAGGACATGCACAGCAGACACACACTCCAATCCCTCCTGGCTCTGCTCAGCCTCAAACGAGGTGCAGGCCTGCAGGCCCCAACCAAGGACCCCTGTTACACACAGACACAAAGACACAAGATGCAGCAACACACACACGTAATACAGAAACACAGTCACACACTAGCGCACACACAGACACAGTCAGACAATCCAAGAAACACACTCACACATGAACAGACATATAAGCAAAGTCTTACACATACAAAGACACACTTAAGCACAGACACAAACACACCAACAGATGCACAGACGGACACACATAGACGCACACTGGGAGGCGGCCTGTGGAGACTGCTGATTGGATACCATGTTGGCTTGGTATCCAGAATTGTTGGTGCAGCGCACTCACCATGCCTGACCTCATTAAGGAGGCCCTCTGGGGCAGTGGCTCTGAGAAGAAAGGCAGCAAGCCTAGGGAGGTGACACTGTAGCTGGGGAGCATTTTGGCTGGGCAGAGAGGAGGAAGGAGAGCATTTCAGGGAGGGAAAATAGCCCTTGCAAAGGTTTGGAGTGGAAGAGCAAAAGGGATGTCCCAAGAACTGTGCCTCATTTGATGGGGCTGTGGGGCCCTTCTCTGACGGGCAGCCTTCCCAGGCACAAAGGGAGGTGGACTGAGAAGCATCTGGAACTTCTGTGGGGGCACATGGGGCAGAGGGGAAGGGGAACAGGCAGAACGAGTCAGCTGCCTTTGAAAGCTCCACGAGGGACCTAGCAGAAATTCATTCATTCATCCGTTCATTCATTTATTTATGACAGGTTCTCTCTCTGTCACCCAAGCTGGAGTGCGGTGGTGTGATCACACTTACTGCAGCCTCAAACTCTTGGGCTCAAGCAATCCTCCACCCCAGCCTCCTGAGTACCTAGGACTACAGACGTGAGCTACTACACCTGGCTAATTTTTAAAACTTTTTAGAGACAGGGTCTCCCTTTGTTGCCCAGGCTGGTCTTTGTTGCCCAGCCAGCTTCAAGCCATCCTCCCACCTCAGACTCCCAAAGCGCTGGATTACAGGCATGAGCCACGGGTTCCCAGCCCAGAAAGAGACCTTCACCCCACAAACCCCCTGTCTGGAGGCCAAGTCCCAGCATCCCCAGAAGGGCCCCGGTTAGGACAAGAAAAAGGCTGTGTGCCTCGGAGGAGAGGCTGGGTGCCCCCTGGTGCGGAGTGGTCCCCTTGCCGGGCATGGGGCCTCAGTCTGTGAGACTCCGCGCCTCCGTCGTCTGAACTTGAGCAAAGACAGAGCTAGGCCTAGCCTGGGGACCCGAGGGCCTGCCCTCATCCGCAATTCTGCCTCTTTTCTGGCCACTGAGGACCGGGCTAGGGAAGCTGTAGGGGCAGTAGGGGTGGGAGGAGAGAGGGTTCCGGGTCAAGGGACTGGAGGGGTCTGGGGCAGGGAAGTGGAGGGGTCTAGGGCGGGCCCTTCCCCCTCCGCTGTTGGGCCCTCGCTGAAGGGGCCGAGGCTGAGCCCCAAGGTGGGCCTGTGGGGGCGGGGCGGGGGAGCCCCTCAGCAGCTGGACCGCAGGAGGCCGACCAGGGTCTGGAACTCCTCTTCCCCTCCCTCCGCCGCCCCCTCTCCCTTCTCCCACCCCCTGGGCTGCTAGGGGAGCGGGGGAGGCGCAGGAGGGGCTCAGGGAGGGGCCCTGGACGCGGGACCAGGCTGGGCCCCTCGGCGGAGGCCCGCGCAGGCAGGCCCCGCCCCGGCCTCGCACATCTGGGCCGGGAGCGCGGGCCGACCCGGCGGCGCAGGCGGCGCGGCCATCCGGCCTGGGGGAGGGGGCGGCGGGCGGGGTGGGCGGCGCGAGGAGGCGGGAGGCCTCAGGGCCGGGCGCACGTCGAGGGCTGCGGCCGCCGCAGCGGGCACGGCCAACGAGCTGCGGGCCCGGGATCGCGGCGGCTGGACGGGGCTGGAGCTGTCGGGAGGGCGGAGGTGAGTTCTGGGGCGGGGGCTGCCGGGCGCCCCGAGTGGAGAAAGGCGAGGAGGTTTGCCGTCCCGGGCTGTCGGCTGAGACCCCACCAAAAACCTCCAGACTTTGTCTGGTGGGGACAGATCTGCAAGCCCCTCTCTGCAGCGTGGCTGCGGGCTCGGGAAGGCACTTGGGGCAGCGACCTTGGTCTCCCACCTGGGCTTCGGGGGACCACCTCCCCTGTCCCTCGCACAGCTGCTCAGAGGCTTAGGCTGGAGAAACTCCTGTGTCTTAGGGGCTGGCAGGACTGGTGTGGGCTGGGGCCTGCTCCAGGGAGCCAAACTGAGGGACCCGGTGCCTAGGTCTGAGGTGGAAACCTGGGAGTTGAGTGTATGTGTGTGTGTTGGGGGGTGCCTCAGGGGTCCCAGGCCCTGTGGTCCCGAAGCGCAACAGAGTACTGAGTGGCCCAGGTGCCAGGGTCTGAGGCTGGGACCTGGTCTTCCGGGCCAGCTTGAGGTCCAGGTGGGGTGGGGTCCAGGTTCCCGCTAGGGCAGTGGAGCCTATCTGTGAGGTTAGCGTGTGTTGATGAGAGAGACTGGAAGGGAGTGATCACGAAACTAGGGACCCTCCGGAGAGCAGACGCAGCGCAGGAATCCCAGGCCAGAGGGGTAATGGGGGGCTGTGGGCAGAGCATGGGAGGGGCTCTGTTGTTTGTGAACTGGCTGCTCCCATGATGAGGACCCAAGGGGGTGCGGCAGGATGTATGGAAAGCAAAGATGAGGACAGGGAGGGGCCATGGGAGGCCATTTCTGTCACTCCCTGCCCCAGCGCAGGATGGGGCAGCCACCTCACTCAGCCACACATGGTCCCATCTTCTTAAGGGCTCCTCTCCAGAACAGAGTGGGGCAGCCCTTTGGGTGCCGTTTCTGATCTGTGCTTTGGGCCCTGGTTGGCCCAGTCTGTGGCTTGGAAGAAACGCCTGTGGCCTCACTTAGCCCGCTGACGGAGTCCTGTTCCATTACAGGGCTGGCTGGGTGCTGAGCAGAGAGCAGCAGGCGGAAGAGGCAGGGTCCTAGTGAGGAGGGGAGCTGGAATGACCTGGGTGGGCTCTTTGTCTACACAGGCATCGTGTGGAGCCCTGAAACCCAGAACACTGCATTCCCATAGTGCTCCTGGGGACATGAGCGCCCAGCTGAAACACCCCACACAGGAAGAGATCCTCCGAGGATTCTGTCAGGCAAAGGGTTGGGCCCCTGCAAGGTGGCTCACGCCTGTAATCCCAGCACTTTGGGAGGATGAAGTGGGAGGATCGCTTGAGGCCAGGTGGTCGAGGCTGCAGTGAGCCGTGATCGTGCCACTGCACTCCAGCCTAGGCAACAGAGCAAGACCCTGTCTCAAAAAAAGGAGCGGGAGTGGGGGCAGGGTTCGTCCTAGGCTATTGTAAGACCAGGGGATACTCTGGGATGGGAGTCTCTGGTTGTGAGTTCCTGCTGGGCCACACCCTATCCTGGTCCCCAGTGACTAATCGGCCCTGCCTATTGGGTAGAAGTCAGGGCCAGGGGTCAGGGTGAAGCTGATGACTAGAGGTCAATATGAAGCCAAGAGTTAGGGGTCAGTCCATGGGCAGGGTTAGGGATCAGGCTGGGGCCAGAGTTTGGCATGTGCTTGTAGCCAGGAAATGGAGTTCCTTTCTGTGTAAATCAAACTGTCCCACTCAATTACTCTCAAACCCATAGGCACCACCAGTCTGAAATTAGTAGGCCCCTGAAGCGGGGCTCAGCCTCCCCTCATTTTCAGCTGTGGACTCTGCCCAGACCTAGCTTTCGGGAGCTGGGCTTGTCCCGTGTTCTGTGGTCAGCACTCTCCTTAAGTGTCCCTGGGTGTGTGTGCTCGCTTGGCAGTCAGCCACCTCTTGGCTTACCTCCACCTCTCGGGGAATCCGTGGGATCCTCCTTCTTTAACACAATTTTTTTTTTTTTTTTTTTGGAGACAGGGTCTCACTCTGTCACCCAGGCTGGAGTGCAGTGGTGTGATCATGACTTACTGCAGCCTCAACCTTCCGGGCTCAAGCAATTCTCCCACCTCAGCGTCCAAAGTGGCTGGGACTCTAGGCATGCACTACCACGCTGGGCTAATATTTGTATTTTTCGTAGAGATGGGGTTTTGCTGTTGCCCAGGCTGGTCTCGAACTCCTGAGCTCAAGCAATCCACCCACTTTGACCTCCCAAAGTGCTAGAATTACAGGCATGAGCCACCACACCCAGCCCTTAACACAGATTGATTTAGTTCCTACCTCCTTCCTTAAAGAACTCATGATGACTAGAATGCGATTCTCAGTAAGACCAAAATATCTAACAAGAAAATTCAGAATCTGCATCATGAAGGGAAAGAACACTGCTCAAACCTGCCCAACTCCCTGCTTTTATCAATACCTTGCATATCTGGACTTGTTAACATAAGCCCTCTGTGTCACCCATTCTACAGGAAAGGGCACTGAGGCACAGAGATGTGGCATGATGCACTCACGCTAGGTGCCATAATAGGCTCTTGCCATCCCTGAAACCCCAGCATAGGGGCACTCAGCATATCGCACAATGAGAGACGGTAGATAACTGGACAAGCTTCCGATAGCTGGGAAGAGTATAGGCCCATGGTTTGGATGTGGAATCCAGTGTAGAGCGAGGACTCAGTCTTTTTTTTTTTTTTTTCTTGAGATGGGGTCTCACTCTTCTCGCCCAGGCTGGAGTGCAATGGCGCGATCTTGGCTCACTGCAACCTCTGCTTCCCAGGTTCAAACGATTCTCCTGCCTCAGCCTCCTGAGTAGCTGGAATTACAGGCGTCTGCCACTACGCTTGGCTAATTTTTGTATTTTTAGTAGAGACAAGGTTTCACCATGTTGGCCAGGCTGGTCTCGAATTCCTGACCTCAGGTGATCCACCTGCCTCAGCCTCTGAAAGTGCTGGGATTACAGGAGTGAGCCACGGCGCCCGGCCCAGAGTCTTTTTTTTCTGGTGGTTCTAGGTTGTTTCTCCTCCAGATACAATAGCCTCGGTCCAGAAAATCCATTCATTCATTCAACAAAGTGGTTCCCCAGTGCTTAGCACAGAGCCTGGCATGAAGAATCTCGATAAGTGTTTGCTGAAGAATCAGAACAACATACAAATAAGGCTGCCAGCTCCTCCCTCGAGACCTTGATCCAGTAGTATGCTGGTTAATGGTTTCCAATCAGCTCTGGAAGAAGGATAAAATCCTGATTTATGGTGTTTGCCAATTTCTGTCTTGTAAATACTCCCAGCCATGACTGATTTGAAGCTACCAATGTGATGTCATTGAATGCAGAATTGGGAAGAGATAGAAAGAATCAGCTCGCATGAGCTGGTGGGACCCAGCTCAGCATCCCACTCCATCATCCTGAGCTGGGCTCTGGGCTCCTGCCCCTGGCTCCTAAGAACCCTCCCCTCCCCCTCTCTGTGCTTTCCCTTTTCTCCTCAACAGCCAGCTGCTATATGCATGCCCACAACCAGCACCCATCCTTCTTCTGATTCTGATTCCTGAGCATCCAACTCCAATGGTACAGAGGACAGCAAGAGTGTCTGGAAATCTCCATGGTGCTGGCCATGCAGGAGAATCCTGGACATACAAGAGTGTGTGGGAGTCCAGGTGTCTGTCCACAATGGGGCTGGTTTGTGTGAACTGTGTGAGCAAGGGTGTGTGCATGTGTCTATGGGCATGCCAGAGCCAGCTCTGTGTCTGCCTGTGTTCTATAGCAAAACTTTCAGATTGGGCCGCTGGTGACAGAGAAGGAATGCATTGGCCCTGCGTAGCCTCCTCCTTTGTTTAGAGGAGCAGCCAGGCCCACCAATGAGAACATAGTGTCAGTGGTCTGCAGACTGGCTGAGAGACACTGTTGAGCAACACTTCTCAAACTTCAATGTGCACCTGAATCACCTGGGAATCTTGTTAAAATAGGCCAGACGCGGTGGCTTACGCCTGTAATCCCAGCACTTTGGGAGGCTGAGACGGGCGGATCACCTGAGGCCAGGAGTTCGAGACCAGCCTGGCCAATATGGTGAAACCCCGACTCTACTAAAAATACAAAAATTAGCCAGGCATTTTTAGGTGGCATTTTAGGCAAATTAGGTGGCGCATGCCTGTGGCCCCAGCTACTTGGGAGGCTGAGGCAGGATAATCACTTGAACCCAGGAGATGGAGATTGCAGTGAGCTGAGAACTGAGATCACGCCACTGCACTCCAGCCTGGGGGACAGAGTGAGACTCTGCCTCAAAAATAAATAAATAAATAAATAAATAAATAAATAAATAAATAAATAAATATGAAATACATGTTCTGATTCAGCAGGTCTGGGCTGGGGCCTGAGGTTCTGCATTTCTAACAAGCTTCCAGGTGATACCAATGCTGCTGATCCTCAGCCCACACTTTGAGTAACAAAGCTGTTGATGGTTTGAAATATCCTGCCTATAGCCTGGCCCCAGAACTTCATAGACAGGATCGAGCCCCTCCCATCTTAGAAAATAAATATTCTTCCTCACCTCCCTTCAGCTTTAGCGCCCTCCAACTACTGCCCTCACATGTATTCCTGATTTCAGCCAAGCTTTTCAGAAATTCTAGCTCAATATGATTGCGTCACTACACTCCAGCCTGGGCAACAGAGTGAAACTCCATCTTAAGAAAAGAAGTTCTAGCTCATGTCACCTCTTGCTCACTCCTCACCTAAGCTTACCTCCCTTGGGCCACTAAAACAGTGTTTCCAGTCTCATCTGGGGACCTTTTACAGGGATCTAGCTTTACCCATCTCTTGGTACAATCTTCATGAGACCATGAGGCATCTCAGTCTCCTGGGCCGGTATATATTCCTCTGTTCAGCCTTTAAATGTAGGTTCTCCTCGTGACAGAGTGACACCCTATCTCAAAACAAACAAACAACGAAGGCCAGGCACGGTGGCTCATGCCTGTAATCCCAGCACTTTGAGAGGCCGAGGTGGGCGGATCACCTGAGGTCAGGAGTTCGAGAACAGCCTGGCCAACACGGCGAAACCCCGTCTCTACTAAAAATACAAAAATTAGCTGGGCATGGAGGCACTCACCTGTAATCCCAGCTACTGAGGAGGCTGAGGTAGGAGAATGGCTTGAACCTGGGAGGCAGAGGTTGCAGTGAGCCAAGATCGTGCCACTGCATTCCAGCCTGGGCAACAGAGTGAGACCCTGTCTCAGAAAAAAGAAAAGACAAATTGAGTCATGCCCCCACCCCACCCTGCCACCTCAAACCTTTCAAGATTTGCTGTTGCCCTTCATATAAAATCAAATCTGAAATAGGGTGCACAGGCCCTGCCTGCAGGGTAAGCCCAGCCCAGCCCTCTGTCCAGACTTACCATGTCCTCTTCCCACCCCGCATTATCCAACTTTGACCTTCCTAGCACTCAGCAACGCTTGTCATTTCAAAATCACTTGCCTGATTATCTCCTCCATCAGACCGTTGGTTTCTAGGGCAGGGACAGTGTCTCTCTGGGTCACTATCTCCCAGCACCTGGCACAGAGCAGGCACCAGAAAACATTTAGGAGGATCCTGATTCCAAGAAAGTAAAGCCATTTTTTGACACAAGCTGGGAACTGTGGGACTTTAGATGAGATTTAAGGAATTACTGTTAATTTCATTAGACATGAGAATGGTGTTGCGATGACATTGTTTAAAACGTCTTTATCTGTTGGAGAGATGTATTAAAGAGTTCACGGGTGAAACAACATGATGGCTGGGATTTGCTTCAAAGGACTCCAGCCAAAAGTAAACAAATAAAATAAATAAGCATTCAGATGAGGGAACAAAGGGACAAATAAATCCCACTCTGCTTGTCTGTTCCTGTTGACAGCTACAGGGCCTGCAAGGATGTTGGCTGTCCCGGAGATGGGCCTGCAGGGGCTGTACATCGGTAAGAACCCCCACCATTCTGCCCTGACCCATCACCCACTCACCCGAGCAGGCACTGAGACCCACCTACAGGTTGTGCAATGTACCTCTCCCACAGAGCTTCCCAACAGCTCTTCTGTGAGTGAGTGTGTGTGTGTGTGTGCATGTGTGCAGGGCAGGTCTGTGTTTACTGGACCCCCCTGTGTGTGCAGAAAGGGTCTGTGTGCACCGGTCTGTGTATGTGAGTATGTGTGCACACAGGACTGGTCTATTCACAGGACCCTCATGTGTATATGAGTGTGGGCTGAGTGCGTGTGTTTGTGTGTGCCAGAAGGGTCTGTGCACACAGGAGTGTATGCATGTGCGTGTGTTTTGTTCAGGCTCTGTCCACAGGACCCTGTGTGAGTGTGTCAGTGAGTGTGTGTCTCTGCGGGCAGGTCTCTGTGCACGGGATCTGTGTACGGGAGTATAGTCTGCAGGTGGGCATGCATACAGAGAGTTCTGCGTGTGCATGGAGGGTCTGTGTGCACAGGAGTGTTTGAATGTCCATGTGTTTTGTTCAGGCCATGTGCACAGGACCCCGTGTGAGTGCATCAGTGAGTGTGTGTCTCTGCGGGCAGGTCTCTGTGCACAGGATCTGTGTACGGGAGTATAGTCTGCAGGTGGGCACGCATGCAGAGAGTTCTGCGTGTGCATGTGCGTCTGGCCATAGCCTGGTCTGGGAGCAGGCTTGGGTTCTCCGCAGGGGTGGGAGGCCGGAGGCAAGAGGGACACTCCTCAGGAAGTCCATTCACAAAGACCTGGTGGGCTGGGCCCTTCCTTCCTGCCTCCCTTCCCAAGCTCGAGCCACAGCAACTTGGCCTCTCGGGCTGCAGCTGGTGGCAGGGCTGGAGCCTGCCCTGGCTGCCTGAGGAGAGGGAGCCCTTGAAATGTGGCCACTTTTTCCCTGCCCCTCCAGCACCTCAGACTCTGGCCCTGTCCAGGCGCTTCCCAGAGTCCCCCTCATGCCTGGCCCTTCGCCTGTGTTCCCAGGTTACCCCCAAGGCCAGGGAGAGTGGAGACCTGCCTGGCAGCACGTGACAGGACTGTGGCTGAGGGAGCACAGGGCCTGCCTGGCTCAGCCTAAGGCGAGCCAGACCTGCCTGATTTGTCCATGGAGCTTCCTACCAGATCTCACTCTCCCTCCCTAGCCAGCCTCCCTGGCCTGTCCATGGATATCAAGGCTGCCCCAGTACTCCTCACATGCCCCTTAGCAATGCCCAGTGTGGTGGTGGCAGCTACCAGCCAGGCAGGCCCTCCTGCCCCATAAGCCGCCTGATCCTCGGGGCGAGGCCTGGGGCTGTCCTCCAGGGCTACTCCACTCCCTCCCACCAAAGGTCCAGCTCAGTCCCAGGCGTGCAAGAGGGTCTTGATGGGGCGTCCTGCCCTGAAATGCTGGCTCAGGGTGTGTGTATGTGTGTGTGTGGGGGGTGGGAATCAGACTTCCTAATGTTGTGGACACCCCCAGTTCAGGACTGGGCTATCTCTATGGGTGTGGGAGGAGGTGCTCCCCCTCCTCGATCCTCCTCAAGCAGCCAGCTGGGCCTGTCTGTGGCCCTTGTGGGCATGGGAGCTGCAGAGTTCCCTCAAGTCCTGATTAGAACCACGTGGCCCAACTTTAGGGTGGAGGGGAGCAACCCCACCTCCTAGCCAGTTAGCTCTGTAGCTCCACCTTTTGAAGGAGGAGGGCTTCTCTCTCCTCTACTCCCTCCCAGGAGCTCACCTGCCCTATCTCCCCTGCCCTTCCATCTCTGGACTGAGTCTCCCTGCCACACAATGCTTTTCTGTCTCTCTCCCCTCCCACACTGTGTGTCTGAGGGGCCCTAGTGGGGAGACAGTGAGCTCCTGGGGAAAGCATGGGTCATCTGCTAGGGAAACGTTGCCTCTGACAGCAGACCCTCAGCTCCTGCCCCTGCGTCATGTGTGTCTTTCCTACACCCCGCAGTCCTCCTCCCCAGCAGAGAGCCCTTTGCCTTAGCCCAGCAAGGACTGATGGAGAACCTTTGGGTGCCTGGCTTGGGGCCCCGCTGCCATACCTACCCTGCTTGTGCCAGGATGAACTGCCGTCTCTTCTCTGCAGGCTCCAGCCCGGAGCGGTCCCCAGTGCCTAGCCCACCCGGCTCCCCGAGGACCCAGGAAAGCTGCGGCATTGCCCCCCTCACACCCTCGCAGTCTCCAGTAAGCCCAGAGCAGGGACCAGGTGGTGGGTGACCTGGCTGGTGTGGACAGGGTCGTGCGTGGCAAAGTCATGACAGGGCCTCAGCTAGGAAGGAGGAGGGGATGGGGGTAGCACCATGCCTCTTGTCCCCGTACACTCCAGTCATGTGCCCCCCAGAAGGATTGGCCTTGGGTGACCCTGGACTATAAAGGGTAACAATTCTACTGAGAAGGCGAGCCCCATGTAACTAACTCCCAACCCCCCCACACAGGAGGCACCCACGGCCATTGAAGCTGGCCTGGCTGAGGCAAGTGTTCCCCTGAGCATGTGGCTTTTCTAGGTCCCCAGAGCACTGGGCCTCTTGTGGACCACAGCCCACCTTAATCCAAGTCATATCTGAAGGAGAGGAGATGTGTTGCCAAAAAAAAAAAAAAATAGTCTGGAAACCATTAGCTTGGGCTGGGCATGGTGGCTCATACCTGTAATCCCAGCACTTTGGGAGGCCGAGGTGGGCAGATTGCTTTGAGCTCAGGAGTTCAAGAACAGCCTGAGCAACACAGCGAAACCCCATCTCTACAAAAAATACAACAATTAGCTGGGCGTGGTGGTGCACACCTGTAATCCCAGCTACTCGGGAGGCTGAGGGTGGAGAATTGCTTGAACCTGGGAAGCGGAGGTTGCAGTTAGCCAAGATCGCACCACTGCATTTCAGCCTAGGTGACAGAGTGAGACCCTGTCTCAAATAAAAAGGAAACTACTAGCTTGAAGTATCCAGGACACCACCTCCCCACCCCCAAGCTCCCTGGGTCACCCCACCTGGATGACCTTGCCCTGGTGATCCAGCTTAGGGACCCCCTTATTCTTAGGGGAGTCCAGCCCTGGCATAGGAGAAGGCACACACTTCTCTGGGGACATGCACGTGCCCTCTCCTCTCTGCCACAGAATCAGACAGTCTGGTTTGTGTCACTATGGCCACAAAGAGCAAGAGGATAAAATATATACACTGGTCCATGTGCTGTAAAACTGCCTGGAGGAGCAAAATTGCTCCCAGCTGGGCCCAGACTAATGGCTGCCTATGAAGATGGTGTGAGGTGGGGGTGGGGCTAAGGCAGTCCAGAGGGAGGGTGGGCAGAGGCTGGAAGCAGGAAAGCAGGAGCTTGAGCCAAACCCTGCCTGGGGCTACCTGAGAGACACGTCCAAGGCTCAGCCTGGAGCCTGGGAGGGCAAGGGAGCCCGAGCAGGTGGGCAGGTGGGGTGGGCCAGGTCCAGGGCTGGTCTGGACCACAGTCAGTGGAGGGGAGTGTCTTCCCCATGCAGAGGAAGCATTGGGGCTGTGGGGGATGGGGGTGTCCCTGCTGGCTGCTTGCTAATTCTAAGTCTTGCACTTGCAGAAACCCGAGGTCCGAGCCCCCCAGCAGGCCTCCTTCTCTGTGGTGGTGGCCATTGACTTCGGCACCACGTCTAGTGGCTATGCTTTCAGCTTTGCCAGTGACCCTGAGGCCATCCACATGATGAGGTGAGGTCGGCTGGGCTGAGAGAGTGAGGTGGGGAAGGTGGGGAGTTCCTCATACCTTGGTCCCAAAAGTACTGTCACCGAGACATGGGGTCTCCTTGGAGGCCCTGCCACCCCCAGTCTGGGGCTCCCCACTGGGGTAAAAGTTGGAGGATGGGCCCCAGGCCTGGGTCCTTGGCCTCAACTGGAGCAGCTCCCAACCCTCTGTAGGAAAAGTCAGACTTTGTTTTTAATTTTGAATTTTTTTGAGATATAACAAACATAACAATAAAATATGCAAATGTTTTTTATTTTCCTTTTTTTTTTTTTTGAGGCGGAGTCTCACTCTGTCGCCTAGGCTGGAGTGCAAAGGCACGATCTTAGCTCATTGCAACCTCCACCTCTCGGGTTCAAGCGATTCTCCTGCCTCAGCCTCCCAAGTAGCTGGGAATACAGGTGTGCGCCACTATGCCTGGCTAACTTTTGTGGGGTTTTTTGTTTTTTTTTGAGACGGAGTCTCACTCTGTTGTCCAGGCTGGAGTGCAGTGACGCAATCTCAGCTCACTGCAAGCTCTGCCTCCTGGGTTCATGCCATTCTCCTGCCTCAGCCTCTTGAGTAGCTGGGACTACAGGCGACCGCCACCACACCCAGCTAATTTTTTTTTTTTTTTTTGTATTTTTAGTAGAGACGGGGTTTCACCGTGTTAGCCAGGCTGGTCTCAAATTCCTGACTTCGGGTGATCCGCCAGCCTCGGCCTCCCAGAGTGCTAGGATTACAGATGTGAGCCACCAACCTGGCCTTTTTTTTTTTTTCTTTGAGACAGGGTCTCGCTCTGTCACACAAGCTGGAGTGCAGTGGTGTGATCATAGCTCACTGCAGCCTCAAACTCCTGGGCTCAAGCAATCCTCCCACTTCAGCCTCCTGAGTAGCTAGGACTACAGACAGCACCACCACACCTGGCTAATTTAAAAAAAAAAAAAAATTTTTTTTTGGAGAGACAGGGTCTCACTGTGTTGCCAGGGCTGGTCTTGAATTCCTGGCCTCAAGTGATTATCCCACTTTAGCATCCCAAAAATGCTGGAATTGCAGGCGTGAGCCACCATGCCCAGCCCACAAATATTTTTCTAAGCTTGTAGACAAACACACACATATACAAACATATATGTGTTTTTTTAAGTAAAAGTGAGATATACAACTTGCTTTGTTTTAAAGCTTCAACACTATTTTGTAGATATTTCATGTCAGCACATACGAAGCTACCACTTTCTTTGAACGGCCTAGTATTCCATAGTACAGATGTGTCATAATTTATCCATTCCCCTATTGACAGTTTTAGGGGGGTTTTTTCCTCCTCTCATTTTTCACTATTACAAAAAGTGCAGCAGTAATATCCTTCTTTGAAAACTTGTGCCGCAATCTCCATGGGGTAGATTCCTAGAGGTGATTCCTAGGTCCAACATCTCAAATCTTTTTTCTTTTCCTTTTTTAGTAAAAAGGAAAAGAAAAAATAATAAAACAAGAAATAAAAATAAAAACAAGAAAATGAAGGTTCTAAGGGCTGAGTTGACAAGTCACACAGTTGTTTTGAAAGACATGTTTCAAAAATCCATTCAAATGTTGGGTTTTATGTGGGACCTCAAGGACCTTGGGACCTCAAGACCCCAGTCCTCTGAATATGTCCTAGAGGGTCGGCAGGCAGTAGGTGAAGCTACAGGAGACCTCAAAGCTCTCAACCCAGACTGGGATGGGAGGTAAGAGGGGCTTCCCAAGGCCTGGAGACTGGATGGAAGGGTGAATGGAGACATAGACAGACAGGTAACTGCTCCCAAAATACATGGGACTTGAGCTTCATGAGACTGGACTGTCCTTCCTTCCACATCACAGGAAACCACAAAGGCTCTGAGCACTTACAGCCCTCTAGGAGCTGCAGGGCATCCCAGATGTCTTGCTGATCAACACACATGGCTGAGGCCATGCTGGGGCTAAGGACACATCCAGGAACACTGTCTCTGTCCTGTGGAGGTGACAGTCACAGGAAATAACTGGGGGACATTCCAGCCTCCTCCCAAGCTCTCTCTTCCCACCAGACACCAAGCCCCTAACATCTCTAGAATACCCATCTACTTCTCTCCATGGCCACTGATCGTGCCCAAGTTCAGCCCCGACCTTCTCTCACCTGGATGGCTGCAATATCCTCCTCCTTGGTTTCCTTTCTCCATGCTCCCTTCCCTGCATTCTGTTGCTCCATGGGAGCCAGTGACCTTTCTTTCTAAAGGCAAATGTGGTCATACCTCTTGGCTACTTTAAATCCACGAAGACAGAATTCTGAATGGCCTTCTGTGCTCTTCATGATCTCACCTTAGCATTCTTGTGTTTTCTCCTGCTGCCTATGGAGCCGACCCATAGCTAGTTCTCCCTGCTCTTTCACATCTGTAAGTTTTTGCACATGCTGTTCCCTCTGCCTGGATTCCCACCCAAGAAGGGAGGGTTGCACTGACTGCCCTGTGCCTCCGCAGGAAATGGGAGGGCGGAGACCCGGGCGTGGCCCACCAGAAGACCCCGACCTGCCTGCTGCTGACTCCGGAGGGCGCCTTCCACAGCTTTGGCTACACCGCCCGCGATTACTACCATGACCTGGACCCCGAAGAGGCGCGGGACTGGCTCTACTTCGAGAAGTTCAAGATGAAGATCCACAGCGCCACGGTGAGTCACAGGGCTCCAGACAGGGAGGCGGGGCCAGCATGGAAAAGGGCAGGGCTAATGGGGGTGGGTGGGACAAAACCAAAACGTGTGAGGACCGGCCCGATGGAGTCGTGGCTGAGAGGGGGCGGGGCTAAAGGGAGACGTCGGACTCCGGTGTGGGCGGAGCTCAGAAATGAGGTGGAGGCGGGGCTAATGTGGGTGGGGCTAATAGTGAAGCTGGGGTTGCAGGAGGGGTGGGGCTAAGGAGAGGGGTCGGGGCAGAGCTAATGTCACATGGGGCAAGAGTGGGACGGTGGTAAAGAGGAGGGGAAGCTCCAGGAAACGGGGTGATTTTAAGAGCGAGGTCGTCAGGAAATGAGTGCCAAGCTGAGGCCTCCTGCAGAGCCGCCCTGTGTCCCTGCCAGGATCTCACCTTGAAGACCCAGCTAGAGGCAGTAAATGGAAAGACGATGCCCGCCCTGGAGGTGTTCGCCCATGCCCTGCGCTTCTTCAGGGAGCACGCCCTTCAGGTGCGCTGCGGCCCCACCTCTGCCGACTGTGGCAGGGACCCCCTATTTTCCCCTCATCCGAAACCGCTCCCCCATCCCGTCCCCGACATTGGATGGGTAGCCACCGCCGGAGCTCAGAGGTCATCTTCTCCAGTACCCTCCTCCCTTTTTGTCTGGTAGAGCCTGCACCAAGCCATACTGATGGGAGGGGGGCCGATTCTTCCAGCTCTGCTGGGAAGTCCTTCCTGTGATTTGATTAGTACCTCCAGTTCCGCAGAGGGCTGAAGACCACCCTCCCTCCAAGCCAGCTTTCCTCTCACTGCCCCCTCCTGTACCAGGAGCTGAGGGAGCAGAGCCCATCGCTGCCAGAGAAGGACACTGTGCGCTGGGTGTTGACGGTGCCTGCCATCTGGAAACAGCCAGCCAAGCAGTTCATGCGGGAGGCTGCCTACCTGGTGAGGACGTGCAGGCGGGCCCGAGAACACTGCTCAGGAAGGGCCAGGCCTGTCCCCATGCTTGCATGCACCCCACCACCCTTGAGACCACAGAGTCATTGTGGAAAGAACTTCAGCCTGCTCCTGATGGGAGTTTGTAGAGTTGCTCCCACCAGAAGAGGGAGTGGGCCTGCAGGAACAGGGGACAGAGGGACAAAAGACACAGCCCAGGCCAGTGTAGACAGTGCCTTAAGTCAGGTGTCCTAAAAGCAGAGCCCAAGATGGAGAGTCTTTTTTTTTTTTTTTTTTTTTGAGACAGTCTCGCTCTGTCGCCCAGGCTGGAGCGCAGTGGCGTGATCTCGGCTCACTGCAAGCTCTGCCTCCCAGGTTCACGCCATTCTCCTGCCTCAGCCTCCCGAGTAGCTGGGACTACAGGTGCCCGCCACCACGCCCGGCTAATTTTTTGTATTTTTAGTAGAGACGGGGTTTCATCGTGTTAGCCAGGATGGTTTCAATCTCCTGACCTTGTGATCCGCCCGCCTCGGCCTCCCAAAGTGCTGGGATTACAGGCGTGAGCCACCGCGCCCGGCCAAGATGGAGAGTCTTATATGTGAGGTCTATTGAAGAAGGTTTCTCAGGAGAAAGGCGAGGGAGGGAGGCGGGACAGGAGAAGGAGCTATGAAGGATGTGGTCTTTGCTGGAGTCTAGCCTCAGGTTTAGCCTCAGCTAGATCCCATGGGGAGCTGCAGAGGGAGAACTGTAGCACAGAGTTGGGGCCGGCTTCTTGCACATCCGTATCGGTCTGTCACTGGTTCTGGGGAAATGGGAGGGAAACCTCTCCAAGTGAGGCCATTCCCATTCAGCTGAGGGCAGTTATCCAGAGGAGGTAGCAGCTGTGAGCCAATAGCAGCCAACACTCACAGTGGCAGGCAGGGCACCCAGAACATTCACTTCACTTGGCATCAGTATTTTGAGGGACACCCCCACCACCGCCCACCTTTGTTGGTTCTTGAGCAGGGGAAATAGGACTATGAAATAAAGGGAGGCGATTCTAGCCAATGCATACAGGTCTTCCTACCACTGAGATGCTCAAAGGTCTAGAGCAAGGAGTTGGGGGGGGCTCCCGTGGAGACAGAGAGGGCATAGCCTCAAGACTCATTGCTTGGTCGTAACCCTAGAGCCTTGGATACAGACCCTAAGCTGTCCAAAAGGGATCTCAAGCCTGCCTGTGGACACCCTGGAGGGACCCCCAATCCTCCCATACCTATGGGCCAGGCATGACCCAGGGCCAGGTCTGTAAATGTCTACACTTTTCACTGGAAGGAGCTAACCCTGAGCACAGTGGACATCCCTGTGCAAAGATCAGGACGGAAGCAAGGCTGTCCCCAGCCAGAACAAACACCTGCTCCCCCAGCGTCCCCTTGCCTATTTTCCCACCCTCCTTCTCACGCTGTTCCCTGGCTGCTCAGGAAAGTCTGGCCCTGGGTAAAAGTCTCCATTCACACCCTTATCCCTCTCCCCTATCTGGTCAGAATCTGGGGAACCCTACAAAACCATAATATACTTCCCACAGGGATCCCCTACCCTGAAGGAAATAACTCCAGATCTCAAGTGTTTTTCTCCACCCAACTGGCCTGTCTTGGTGCCTGGAATTTCAGCTTCCTCCCTGCTGTATCAGATTCCCTGGGAACAAAGTTCTCCTGGAAGTGGGGTGGCCTATGGCTACCGTCTGACACCAGCCTAGTGGAGAAAGAGGGTTCAATGAGCTAAAAGGGCTCCCCACCACCTCCTCTGAGCCATCACACACCCCCACATTGTGCTAGAGTCTCTGCCAATACCCCCAGCCAGCGCTCAGCTGGCCGCTTGTACCTGTGAAGGGGAACCTTGCTGCAGCCCCGCTATCTTGGGAAATTTGAAGGGGCAGATCCCAGGGGTTCTAGGTCTGCATTCTGTCTAGAGTCTTTTCCTGCTGGGCAACTTCTTGGCATATTTGGCCAGGGCCATTCCCTCCCCAGCCTGGTCACAGCGTGGCTATGAGGCAGCTCCAAATTTGTGCAGCACAGAGGGGCCTGAGAGGCCTAACATGGGTGGGGTGTGATGGAGGAGGAGGTGGGAGCCCCACAGGCCGCGGTTCCCCACCTCACAGTGCCATCTTAGGTGTGACAGCCCACAGTGCTGCCTGACCCTGCCCACCACCCATCCCCAGGCTGGACTAGTGTCCCGAGAGAATGCAGAGCAGCTACTCATCGCCCTGGAGCCCGAGGCCGCCTCGGTATACTGCCGCAAGCTGCGCCTGCACCAGCTCCTGGACCTGAGTGGCCGGGCCCCAGGTGGTGGGCGCCTGGGTGAGCGCCGCTCCATCGACTCCAGCTTCCGTCAGGGTGAGCTGCCCCCGGGGACACCACCCACCCCTGGAGGGTCAGAGGGTCACTGAAGCCAGAAGCTCAGCCATGTCTAGTATGAAGGGGAGAGGGTACCCACCCTGGAGGAGCCCAATTTGAGCAGGCAGAAACATGGCTGGTGGAGCCTGTCTGAGGAAGGGAGGCACAGCCCTGCCCAAGGGCAACCTCGTCTCAGGGTGGGACATGCCCTACCTAGGGCAGCCCAATCTCAGGGTGGAGATTTCACCTTGCCCTAGGGGAGCAAAGTCTGAGGAGGGCAGGACTCCGCCCAGCCCTGAGTCTGAGGGTTGGGGGAGACACAGACTACCCCAGGAGGAAACTGCTGGGGTACTGACAAAGGAGGAAGTCAGCCCACTGCATCAGCTGTCCCCTTCACTCCCCTCATCTTCCCCGACACACATCAGCCCCAAGCTCCTGCTGCCAGGACCAGGCACCCAGGCCAAGGACAGCTATGGTCATCCTCCCAAATGCCATCTCCCAGGGCAGGGAGAAGCCCTAAGTCCTGAGTCCCCTCTGAGACTCCAAAGACCTACCTGCCTCCGCTCCTCCAAACCCCTCTAACCCTGATTTTGCCATGACCTGAGACCTCCTGCGTTAAAGGAAGGCCCTGTGTCCATAAATATTTCCCCACAGCTGTTGGATACAGGGTGGGAGTTTGGGGTTCAGGATTGCCCTCTCCCAGTCAGGAGCAGGTTGGAGTTTCAGGAGCACTGGCTGCTCCCAGTGCCCATGGAGGTCCTGGGCAGGAGGATGGGAGTTGAACGCCATAGCTGGAGCACCTCCTTCTAATCTCACTCCCTGCTGTCTCCTGACCCCCAGCTCGGGAGCAGCTGCGAAGGTCCCGCCACAGCCGCACGTTCCTGGTGGAGTCAGGCGTAGGAGAGCTGTGGGCAGAGATGCAAGCAGGTAGGGGGAAAGGGGGACGGAGTGTTATCCTTGGCCCCTACCGGGCACCATATACTGATGGGGGGAAGGGCATGTTTGCAAAGCCCGTCTCTTCCTCCTCCATTCGCTGTACCCAACCTGGCCGTCCCCTCACAGTCACCCGCACCCCCACCCCACTCACAGCGGCGCCCCTAACTCCCACTCCTCCAGGGGATTCTCCGCGGACGCTCGGGTGGAGTTGCAGAGCCTCTGGAACCATTTCTGCCCCACACCCTGCGCCCATATGTGGTGGTCTGAGGTTCAAGCACCTGAAGCCCCTCACGTCCCTCCCCCGACCCTGCAGACAGGCCTTGGGACCCGGGGCAGGGCTGGAGGCTGGGCGAGGCTGGAGGGGGCGCAGGGCTGAGGGTGCGAGGCCGCCCACGAGTGTGTGCCCGCGCTCGCCGCCGCAGGAGACCGCTACGTGGTGGCCGACTGCGGCGGAGGCACCGTGGACCTGACGGTGCACCAGCTGGAGCAGCCCCATGGCACCCTCAAGGAGCTCTACAAGGCATCTGGTGAGTAGCCAGGCGGCGCCCCGGTACCCAGCGCGACCCGGGCTCCGGCCCCGCCACTGCCCCCTGGCGGCCCGGCGAGCGCTGACGCCCTCTTCGCCCCCTGCTCCACCCCAGGGGGCCCTTATGGCGCGGTGGGCGTGGACCTGGCCTTCGAGCAGCTGCTGTGCCGCATCTTCGGCGAGGACTTCATCGCCACCTTCAAAAGGCAACGGCCGGCAGCCTGGGTAGATCTGACCATCGCCTTCGAGGCTCGCAAGCGCACTGCTGGCCCACACCGTGCAGGGGCGCTCAACATCTCGCTGCCCTTCTCCTTCATTGACTTCTACCGCAAGCAGCGGGGCCACAACGTGGAGACCGCTCTGCGCAGGAGCAGGTGGGTCCTGAGCCCGCGGGCTCAGGCAGGGTTTGCCGACCCGGGAATGACCGTGCACTGGAGGGTCCCGGGCCCCAAGGAACGGTGGGGGTCTGCCTGATTCATCCCACATATACACTAAGCCAGCAGGGCGTCGGGGTGGGGCGGCGGGGAGCGGCGAGTGAGTGCCCCAGCCCAGCAGGCTCCACCCACGGAATCCGCAGCCCGAACTGGGGCAAGACAGAGAATCATAGCGGGGAGGCGGCAATGCCTATCTCCTCCCAGCCTTCTCTACACCCCCACCCCGGGCCCTGCGGGCCCATGCTCCTCGGTTTCCCTGCACCAAAGCAAGGGGAGGCCCCTCCCAGGACCTCGTACCTGGAACCTGGAGCAGGCTGGCAACTAAATCCTCTGAGTGAGTAGGGTGGAGATAAGGGACTAACATCCCGCAGGTCCAGTCCTCCAGACACCACGTGCAGTCGGTGCCCAGGCACTTCTGCCTGGAGGCAGAGGTAGAGAATAAGGACCACGGACCCCAAACTGGGGCAAGCAGCTGGGCCCTGACCGATGGATATTTGCCCCTTTCACCACCAACAGCGTGAACTTCGTGAAGTGGTCCTCACAGGGGATGCTCCGAATGTCTTGTGAAGCCATGAACGAGCTCTTTCAGCCCACCGTCAGCGGGATCATCCAGCACATAGGTGAGCACCTGAGCTTGGTCCCCCACCCGCCCCTACATGAACAAACAGATGCAGAATAATTCCCCCCCATCAGTGCCTAGATACCTCCACACATCCATACACTGTGATGAGACCTAGAATCATCTAGAACACCTGCGGGATGAAGTGCAGTGGTGATTAAGAGCTAGAGGGTTGATATGTAGTCTTGCCAAGGCAAAAAACTTCTGGTGCCTCAGTTTCCCCATTTATAAAATGGGGTGATAGTATTGGGTTCTCAAAACGTTATCACAGGGATAAAATGAGCTGAAGTACCTAGAGTGAGCACAATGTCTTGCACACAATGTCTAGGTGTTTAATACGTGTAAAATGCATATCCTTATCTCTCGTCCTCCACGTCGTGGTGGGAGAGAAGTGGGGAGCGTGAGTGTTGGGGAGGCGAAGCCCTCGAGGACTCCCGTGAGCTCTCAAAGAAAGTGCTCAAATGGCTACTTTCTAGTCGCCAGGTAGGTACAGGCTAGGGAGGGGAGGCGCCGGTGGCCGCCTAGTGGTGGCCTCAGTGGCTCTCTCTCCCCCGCCCCTTCTCCTCTGCCCCCTTCACCCGCGTCCCCCCGTCCTGTCCCGCAGAGGCCCTGCTGGCACGGCCGGAGGTGCAGGGTGTGAAGCTGCTGTTCCTAGTGGGCGGCTTCGCCGAGTCAGCGGTGCTGCAGCACGCGGTGCAGGCGGCGCTGGGCGCCCGCGGTCTGCGTGTCGTGGTCCCGCACGACGTGGGCCTCACCATCCTCAAAGGCGCGGTGCTGTTCGGCCAGGCGCCGGGCGTGGTGCGGGTCCGCCGCTCGCCGCTCACCTATGGCGTGGGCGTGCTCAACCGCTTTGTGCCTGGGCGCCACCCGCCCGAAAAGCTGCTGGTTCGCGACGGCCGCCGCTGGTGCACCGACGTCTTCGAGCGCTTCGTGGCCGCCGAGCAGTCGGTGGCCCTGGGCGAGGAGGTGCGGCGCAGCTACTGCCCGGCGCGTCCCGGCCAGCGGCGCGTACTCATCAACCTGTACTGCTGCGCGGCAGAGGATGCGCGCTTCATCACCGACCCCGGCGTGCGCAAATGCGGCGCGCTCAGCCTCGAGCTTGAGCCCGCCGACTGCGGCCAGGACACCGCCGGCGCGCCTCCCGGCCGCCGCGAGATCCGCGCCGCCATGCAGTTTGGCGACACCGAAATTAAGGTCACCGCCGTCGACGTCAGCACCAATCGCTCCGTGCGCGCGTCCATCGACTTTCTTTCCAACTGAGGGCGCGCCGGCGCGGTGCCAGCGCCGTCTGCCCGGCCCCGCCCTCTTTCGGTTCAGGGGCCTGCGGAGCGGGTTGGGGCGGGGGAAACGATAGTTCTGCAGTCTGCGCCTTTCCACGCCCTCCAGCCCCGGGGGAGATAAGGTCATGGGAGAGTGGGTGGGGACACACCCAGAGACTGGCTTTGGGATTGGGCACTGGTCCGCTGACTGCCAGGCTGAAGGGACCCGCCAAGGACTGAACGGGTAAGAGAAGAGGTTTGCAAGACAGAGCGCGCAGCCCGGCAAGGGGCATGTGACCCCGAAGGAAGAACGCAACAGAAGAGTCCTGGTCTGAACTTGGCCGAGTAGGGGTGGGGGTGGGATGGCAGGAGGAGCCGCAGGAGGAAGGAGGTTGTGCAGGGTCTGGACCTGCAGGGCTGAAGTTCACTCATCGACCGACTCAGCCCCAACCGGGAGCCAGGCAGAAAAACCCTGTGCCGTAGGAAAGTGACTGGAAGTGGACTCCAGAGGGACAGGTGTGGTGGCACAGTCCTGGTGTGGTGCTGACCACCCAAATATGACTGTGAATTGTGGAAAGGGCAGTAGATCTCTAATGTGGAGGTGGGAACATTATTGTGGTGGAGGCAATTATGAGGGTAGCATTTCTTTCGAGACAAAACACCCGTCTGGGAAGGCCCCAAGGTCAGCTTATGAAGGACCCCACTTGCACCCCACCCCAGCCATGGAAGAGCAGCTGGAGGGTGGATGGGGAGGCCAGAGGGAGCAATGAGGGGTGGTCCCAGCTCTGCTATTGACTCGGTATGCCTTTAGGACATTCTCTTACCGCTCATGGGCCTCAGTTTCCTAAAGTGTGAAATGTCAGGCACTTCCCTCTAACTGGCATGCAACAGCCCCACCTGCCTGAGAGCCCTGAGGTGACAATAAAACATTTATGCTCAAGGGGAAGCCACAGCCTGCTGATATGGCGTGGAGACCCTAATAGTGGGAGGAATGCAAGGGTTCCCGGTGCTAGAGAGAGAAGGGAGAAAGCTTTCAGCTGTGCATAGGGAACTGACCAGAAGGGGGTGCTGCTGTCTCCCATCAAGCATCCCAAACAACTCCACTGCTTAAGACCTCTCTGGCCTACACATGAGGTCCCTCTCTCCTCATTCAAATTAATTGTCTTGGCAGCCAGCTTCTGGCCTAAAATGCCACCACCTGTGCATACCTCTTGTGGGGCTAGGTGCTATAATACCACGCGGTGCCCCTGCCTCCTGAGTGAGTCTACCCAAGTCTTTCCCTGGCCCATCTGCAAAGGAGTAGGCATTACCCCAACCCCAGAGAACAAAAATCCACCTGGCCTCCGGTATCCACTGGAAGTTTATTTCTTTAGGGTTCTATCCCAACCAGTCGCTTAAAAACCAAGTAACACAGACCTGAGGGGTGGGGGCTGGGGACTGCACCTCCCTCCTACTCATGGTGGACAGCAGTGGGGACTAGGGAGGGGCAGGAGAGGTGGCTGAAGCAAGGCAGCAGTAATGGGGCCACGACGCCACAGAGCCAGCTCCGTCCTCTCCCAGACCCTGGTGGGAGTCCCTGTGGCTTGGGGTGGGGAGTGGGGGACCCACCCCAGGCCCTCCCTCTCCCTTCCTCAGACAGCCTCCTTTCGGGCTCAACCCATTTCTTCCGGCAGGAGACTGAGGCACACAGAGAGGAGGAAGTGGGAGAGGAGGACGAGGGAGGGGCAGGGTGGCAGCACAAATGAAGGCAGAGGTGAGAGGCGTGGGCAAGGCCACTCCACCCCCACACCCACCCCAGAGAGGGGCGAGGAAGCCACACCATCACGCAGCATGTCGGGGGGACAAGGCGGGGTTTAAGGCTGAGGGGCCCGGGGCAGGCGGGGCCTCGGGCCTCAGTCAAAGCCGTGCCAGTCGCTGTGCTCTGAGTCGTATTCCAGCTCGGCGCCCACACACTTGACACCATCCAGCAGCATGGGCGTGCCGTGGTGCCGGTCTGCAAGGCAGGGTGCAAGTCAGTGCCATGCTGGCCCCCGGCCCCACCCATGCGGCCCACTAAGGGGACCCCTCCCCTTCCCTCAGGGATCAGCTGGAGGTAGGGACCTGCCAAGGAGGTTGAGAACCCCTGAGCCGGGCAAGGATCCCTTGTTCAGCCTTGGTTCCCTGAGGAGGACAGAAACCCTCGCAGTCGAGCTTGTGCATCCCTCCTCCAACCAGGAGCCTCACGCTCTCACCCATGACGCGGGCCTGCACCGTCACGCGCACACAGGTGCCAGTGCCACCTTCGCAGGCTAGCAGTATCTCCTCTTTGAGGACGCCCTCTTTGTGCGCCGAGTACTCACACTTGACACTATAACCTGCCCGGGGACAGGGGCAATTGGTCAGCACCTCCCCCAGCCTCCCCGATCCTGCCCCTGGCACTCACGGGCCCCTACCCACCACCATGGGGGGACTGCATGCTAAGCCCCCCCAAGAAAGGGGCAGGGATGGCCCTTCTGGAGCCCAGAGACCCATTCCCCCTAGCAGGGGTGCACAGGTCTCAAAAACCCATTCTTCAGTGAGCTGGACATGCCTCCAGCCTGTGGGCCACCCCAATGTGGCTCCAAGAGTGAATGAAGTAGGGTCCAATTCAGGCTTCCAAAAGAAGGTCTGGCTGTTTTCTCCCAAAAGGAAGGCAGGGAGAGGCGGTGATGAGGAGTGAGGGGGGCAGGGCAGGGTAGGCTTTGAGCAGATCCGATGGCAAGAGGTAAAGGCCTGAGGGGTGTCAATCCATTGAAGGGCAAGGTCATGAAGAGGCTGGTGACGGGGACATGAAACTGAAGCTGGAGCTCCACGAAACTGACACCCTAGCCTCTGCCAGGCTGGGAGTGGGGCATGGGGCAGGGCCTGAAGTGAGCCTGATAGGAACAGCAGCCTGAAACCCAAGGTCTGGGACTGGTGGGTGCTAGGAGTTATCCACACGGTGTGTGTAGCTCCAGCAGGTTTTTCTAGAGGGTTAGGGAGGCAGGAGGGAAGGCTGGAGGCTTCAAACCAGTTCCTCAGCAGCTCCCATCTTGGTTACTGCCCCACGGAGGTAACCATCACACCATGGGCAGGTACAGGGAAGTATGAGCTCATGGACTTCTGTTCAGGACAGGGAGCAAGGCCTGGAGTGTGGGACCTGCCATGCTGCCACAGTGCAAGCTCACAAAGAGGTGCCACATCCCCGACTTGCTGAGCTGCCCATCCACCCTAGTTGGAAGTAAGGGAGCACCCCATGTTCTCACTCCCACACCCATCCAGGCCCTGCTGGAGGAGGGGACGCACCTTCAGGGACGGGCACCACGCTGAGGAGCTTGAGGTGCAGGCTGGGGACAGGTGCCTCGCGGACATCCTTGCTCAGCCTGTGCACTGGGGGCAGAGTGAAGGTAATCTCATACCTGTGCAGGATCTTCAGGAAGCCAACCTACAGCAGGAGAGGTGAGGGAGGGAGGCACCTTCACTTCCTGCTTCCCGCAGGCCCACCCAGTTGTGCCACCTATGATCCCATGCGCCCCAGCACCTGCTTCCCCAGAGAGCCCAGAAAGCCCAACTCCCTCCATCACTCCAGCTGATCGACCCCCAGCCCAGTGGCCCCAGCCCTTTCACAGACCCCTTGAGGGTCCCAGCCCTACAGCTTGGCCAGCAAGATCCTCAGCATCTGTCTCACGGGCCCCAAAGTCCTCAGTGGCTCATTTCATAGACAGGAAAATGGAAACCACAAAATGACTGGCCAAAGGCTATGTAGTGTGGCCAGGGTCAAGTCCTCCCTAGACTTCTTGGCCATTCCTGCTATGCATGGCACCCAGCAAGGCACCACCCACTGCCTACAAGGGAAAGTTCAAAGTCCCATGGGTCATTCACCTGTCCCCATCACTGCCAGTATCCCAGGGTCAGGGATGCTGGTCCTCCATTCGCTCATAGGATGACACCAGGCCACAGATAGCGTGGGATGAGGGATGGGATCAAATTAGAGATATGACAGTAGACCAGCTGTGTCAGCCCAGAGCTGGCCCACAGGCCTGGCACCAGCCACTGAACTGGGGCTCCTGGCTGCCCTGCTGGCACTGGACTGGGGATGCCTGCCTGCCCACTCAAAGGCTGTGTCCAATGGCCCATACTCACGACCCAAGCAATTTCTGTTGTTCATTCACAGTGCTTGGTGACAACCACCCTCTGGGACAAATGCCATTCTTGGAAACTCCAGTAGTATGAAGGGTCACAAGCCAGGGTGGTTGCTGAGCAGGGGGGCTGGTGGGGGTGCCACGCCAGCAGGCAAAGGGTGCCTGCTGTACTCCCAGCTTGCATGGGCACACAGAGTCCTGCTCACAGTTACTGGGGCTGGGCAGCCCCATCCCTGGGGGCCAACTGGGACTGGCTGCAGAGAGTTTTAGCCATTCAATGGGACCAGGTTGATATTGCTACATGACAAACTTCAATCCATGTGCCCCCCTCATGCTCTGCTGGTAGGGGGCACATCCCTCAAGAAGGCTTTCTGGCTGTACCTGCTAACTGTGACCCTGTGACCCAGGGGTACTACTTATAGAATTTTCCAGGGGAAATAGAGATGTGCAGAAAAATACTCTTCGCTGCCCTATTTATAACAATGAAAACAAAAACAGCCGTAACACCCAGGAACAGGGAGCCAGCTAAGTCAATGATGACACGTATCATGGACCAGTAGGCAGTTGTAAAATCTCGTGGAAAATTATTTACTGACACAGGTAGGAGACAGTTCACAACAGAAGCAAGCAAAAACCAGTGTGGACACGGTGAGGCCAGCTTTTGTTTTTGGAAACAAAGCTTTTTAAAATAAGCTGGATCCATCACCATAGTGTTTTCAGAAAAATAAATAAATAAATAAATAACATTTTAAAAAGCTGGAATAAGCCAGGTGTGGTGGCTCACGCCTGTAATCCCAGCACTTTGGGAGGCCGACACGGACGGATCACGAGGTCAGGAGATCGAGACCATCCTGGCCAACAGAGTGAAACCCCGTCTCTACTAAAAATATAAAAAATTAGCTGAGAGTGGTGGCACGCGCCTGTAATCCCAGCTACTCTGGAGGCTGAGGCAGGAGAATTGCTTGAACCTGGGAGCTGGAGGTTGCAGTGAGCTGAGATGGCGCCACTGTACTCCAGCCTGGAGACAGCAAGACTCCGTCTCAAAAAGAAAAAAAAAAGCTGAAATAACACACATCAGAATATTAACCATGGTTATTTTGGGATAGTATGACTGTGGGTACTTTTAAATTTCTTCATATTTTCTCTGTCTTCCAAATTTTCTCATGTCTATTAAGACATGAGTGGATTTTGCAATGAGGGGAGAGAGCTATTTTTAAGTGTTGGTTTGTTCCATTTACTCTCTTGGGGAAGCTGTCAGCTGTAGGACAAAGAGTGGGAACTTCAGAGTTGGACAGAAATGGATACAAACCTGGGCCCCCCAGGTTCTTTTTTGTTTGTTTGTTTGAGACAGAGTCTTTCTGTTGCCCAGGCTGGAGTGCAGTGGCACAATCTCAGCTCACTGCAACCTCAGCCTCCTGGGTTCAAGCAATTCTTCTGCCTCAGCCTCCCAAGTAGCTGGGACTACAGGCGTGCGCCACCACGCTCAGCTAACTTTTGTATTTTTAGTAGAGACGGGTTTCGACCCATTGGCCAGGCTAAACCTGGGCCCCTTTTGAGCAGCGCAGCAGACCCCCCACTCAGGGCCATCTCAATGGGCCAGACCTCCCCCGACCCAAGGGCACTCCTGTTCAACTCTGGACCCCTGATTTATTGACCAACCTGAAGGCCTCAGTCTCCATTTTCCCCAATCCAGCTCCACCAAGCAGAAAACAGGGGGTGATAATACTACTTCAAAGAGCCTAACTGAGCCAGAGATTTGGCAAAGAAGGGTTAAAAAAAAAGTTGCACCTTGTTATTGCCATAGTTAGCTTCACACCTGTATCACATACATACATTCTTCCATTCTCACACCAACTCTAGGGGATGTGATTGTCTCCACTTGAGAGAAAAGAAACTCAGGTGACCTTCCCAAGGTCACAGAGCCAGAATGGCTGGCCTAGACCTGAACTCAGGCCACTGGCACCACAGCCACGACACTGCCTTCCATTGCTATTGTCTGGGTGAAGCAGATGACAGCAGTGGCTCTGCTCATCTTGATCTGGATGACATTCTAAATGCTCTCATCTCATTGAAATCTCACTGCCTCCCATCTGACAGATGGGGCAACCAAGGCACAGGGAAAGGCACAGACATGCCTATAAGCCCGGCTGAGAGGAACGGGGATAGGCACCCAGAAGCCAGGCAGAGCCGGGGAGGGGAAGAAGCTGCTGATGGGGTAGGTGTGCATGTACCTTGACCAGAAAGCTGCTGTCACTCTCCTGGGTGACCATGACCACCGAGTCATGCAGCTTCTCATCAAAGTGGACGTGGCTGTGGGATCCTTCTGCATCGTGGCCTGCCGCAAAGCGGATACTCCGGACTCTGGGCTTGTTGCCTAGGAAGAGTGGGAGAGGGCTCTGAGGGCTTTCCCTGTCCCCAGGAAACTCCTCCCCCTTGTCCCCTCGTCACCCCCAAGACTGCCCTTGACATCATCCAGCTCCCACTGGCTGGGCTCTTTTCAGGGCTAGATGGACACTAGGATCATGAGGCTTGAGGCCTCCCCGCCGGCCCCGACCTGCCCCTCCCACAAAAATCCATCCCCTGAGAGTGAGCGTGGGGGGACTCAGGGACTGGCTAATATGACCCTTGCTTGGAGGGGGTGGGGCTGGTGCCAGAGCCAGGAAGGGACAGTCTTCCAGACTCCCACCAAGCCAGGGCAGCGTGGGACTCAGCCCAGTCCTCTGGATACCCTGCCCAGTGCTCTCCTTCACAGTGCAAAGCTCCCCATCCCTGGGGCCTACCCCTAAGCTGTGTCAGTGCATGAGGCCCCTGCCTGCCCATCCTCATGACCCAAACCTGAAAGGGCAGGGACAGGAACAGGCTCTGGGGGATCTGCCTGGGGTGGCAGAAACAGGGGGGATCAAAAAACACACTCAGGCCACCTGGGCGAGGCTGCAGCTGCCAGTAAACCTCACTGGCCCCTGGCAGCAAGAAGAGAGAATCCAAGGAAGCTTCCAGACCCACCTCAAGACCCCCTTCCTTCCTCTGTCTAGCCCACCATCAAGGCCCTCAGCTGTCTCTGAGCTGGGTCGGGTTCTCCAAGGCCAGAAAGGGCAGACGGATGAGACAGGCAGGGTAGGCGGGAGCCGAGCTGAAGGCCTGGACTGGATGAATGCTCAGGCTGTAGAGGCCGAGAGCACGGCCCTAGTCCTCTCTGACCCCTGGCCCCTAGGCCCTCCCACCAAGAGCCCTGCCCAGGGTCCTCTTGGCGGGAGGACCTGATCCAGCTTTGAGCCGGCCTCTTGGATACTCGGAGGCCCAGGGGACCAGCCTGGCACATCCACAATCCCTGGTGAGCCCCACAGAACCCTCAAATCTCACCAGATCACCCTGGCCTAAAACCCTCCCTTATCCCTTCTGGACTCTGAAAGAAACCCAAACTCCCTTCCACAGCCTGCTGTGGCCCTCCCACATCACCAGTCTCAGTGCTCACCATAAGCCCCTCGGCTCCCCCAACCCCCACAGTGGAACGGCAGGGACACAAGAGCACACACCTCCACAGACCAGCCTAAGGAGTCAGCAGGGCTCTGCAGGGGTCCTGCTAGGGCTTGCGTGAGCCCCAGAACCTGGCACAAACACTGACATAGTCCCAATCACATTCGCACACCAGCACACACGCACTCACACATGCACACACACACACACAGGTGGTGCGGGCCCTACCTGCAGCAATGGCCCTCCTACCAGGGCCCACCGGAAGAGCTTGTGCAAGTCCTACCACGCCAGGAAGGCACTTACCCTTGTTGGCTGCAGCCATGGACGCCCTCCCTGCCACGCAGCTCCTGCCAGACACCGCCACTCACGCTCAGCAGCCTCCCATGCTCCAGGGACACCAGCGGGAGCCTGAAGGATAGGGAGTGGGGAGGGCAGGGGTCAGGGCCACTCATGGACCCATGGCTCAGGGACACCAGAGGAGCTCCCTTTAGGAAGGACTCAAACCCCTACCGCTCTCAGCAGCCCAAGTGGTGCCTGTACTCTCTAGCACGGGGGCTTCTGCCCACCCTCTACCGACTGCCCACATTCACCAAGAGCCCTCACCCCTTCCTGATACCCCAGTGACTCAGGGTCCTGCCAGCATGTGCTGAGCTGCAGCTTCTAGGTGCCAAAGCAACAGCATAGGACTCCTATCCCCAGCACCCCCAGAGACTGGCAGGAGGGGCAGCCTGGAAAGGAGGACTTTATTGGTATTTTCCAGGGACCAGTTCTGGTGCTGCTGACCCCAAAGGCTGGGCCTGGAGCTACCTTATTCAGGTCACACAAGCAATGCAGCTGGGTGCGGTCAGAGGCAACAGGGTGCTCGATGGTGGGCAAGAACAGGGGACCACATAAAGTAAGCGTGCCCTTAGAGCTTTCCCTCCTGGTGATCGGTCAGGGCCATATGCAAAACAGATGCCTGTGGAGGGGGTGTGCCCCCACCTGAACCCCATTCAGACCCTGCCCTGAGTCTCAGGCCTGCCTCCGCCTCAGCTCCCCAACGGCAGCCTCAGCACAGGGGCAGTGAGAGGCGCCCCAGGAAGCCTCCAATGGGCCGAGCTGGGACCATCTGAGCATCAAAAAGAATAATGAGTGCAACTGATGGAAACAGATGGAACACATAAAAGCAGTGCATTCACAGAGATTATTAGAAAAGAAGAGAGAAAGCAAAACAAACAAACCCAAGCCCTCAAAAGCCCTCATTTGTCACCACTGACGGTAGCAGTGCCCTCTTTACTCTGAAAGCTGAGGATTAAAGAGGAAGAATTCAGCCTGTCTCTTGGCCTTTCTTGTAACCAAATTGCCCTGGTGGTTGATGGAAAGCTCTTCTTTCGGAAAGAATTCTTGCTAATAAATAACAAAGAAATGACCAAATGCTAAGTCATTCTGCAACCCCTAAAGGAACAAATGCTGGAGGCAACAAGAACCAGTGGATGCTAAACCAGAGGGGAAGGTTGACAGGAAGCAGATACTCACAGGCGCCCAAGCGTCACTGACAGAGGACCTGGTATGGTTTTTGTTTTTTTTTTTTTTCTGAGACGGAGTTTCACTCTTGTCACCCAGGCTGGGATGCAATGGCACGATCTCGGCTAACTGCAACATCTGCCTCCTGGGTTCGAGCGACTCTCCCACCTCAGCATCCCGAGTAGCTGGGACTACAGGCGCCCGCCACCACGCCTAGCTAATTTTTGTATTTTTAGTAGAGACAGGGTTTCACCATGTTGGCCAGGCTGGTCTCGAACTCCTGACCTCAAGCAATCCGCTCACTTCGGCCTCCCAAAGTGTTGGGATTACAGGTGTGAGCCACCATGCCTGGCCGAGGACCTGGTGTTTAAGAGGAATGGCACAAGTTTGCAATGGAGGTATGTGACTTCTCCCAGTCACACACTGGTCTATCTCTCTACTCTCTGCAGGACAGCCTGTCACACTGATGCCTCCTGAAGTAAGGCAGCCCAAAGTCACAGCATCACTGACAAGGGATTCCTGCCAAAAAGGTTTAACCTGGAATCTAAACCAGCCTCTAACTTCAACTTCTCATTTGCTAAAAACACAGAGGAGAGGGGAACAAATTTAATGACTCCATGAGAAAGCAATGAGACGAGCCCAGAAGGCAGGATATTCTACAGGATGACTGACCTGTTTTTTGTTTTTGTTTTTGTTTTCAAATGTCAAGAAGAAAAAGAAAGCAGGCTGGGAACGGTGGCTCACGCCTGTAATCCCAGCACTTTCACGGATCACAAGGTAAGGAGTTCAAGACCAGCCTGGCCAACATAGTGAAACCCAGTCTCTACCAAAAGTACAAAGATTAGCCGGGTGTGGTGGCGGGCAGCTGTAGTCCCAGCTAGTTGGGAGGTTGAGGCAGGAGAATCACTTGAATCCGGAAGGCGGAGGTTGCAGTGAGCCAAGATCGCGCCACGGCACTTCAGCCTGGGTGACACAGCGAGACTCTGTCTCAAGAAAAAAAAAAAAGAAAGAAGAAAAATAAAACGAGGGAGATTATTCTAGATAGGAAAGCAGCAAACTACAGCTGATTACACAGCTGATGGTAAGGTTGCTGCCTGTTGTGTTTTTGTTTTTGTTTTTGAGACAGGGTCTCACTCTGTCCAGCCCAGGCTGGAGTCCAGCTCACTGCCACCGTAATCTCCCAGGCTCAAGCAATCCTCCCACCCCAGCCTGCCAAGTAGCTGAGACCACAGCCACGCACCACCATGCCCGGCTAATTTTTGTAGAGACAGAGTTGCCCAGGCTGGTCTCAAACTCCGGAGCTTAAGCGATCCACCCACCTCAGCCTCCCAAAGTGCTGGGATTACAGACGTGAGCCGCCAGGCCTGGCAAATAAATTTTTGCAAATAAAGTTTTACTAATAGAACACTACACTTCATTCACTTACATGTTGTCTGTTTTTGCACTAAAACAAAGTTACTTCCAAGTAGTTATGATAGAGACCATATGGCCTGCAAAGTCTAAACCATTTATTATTTGGCCCTTCAGAGCAAAAGTTTGCCAACCCTTGTTCTAGATCAACACACACTTAACAGACCAAAAAAGGATAATCTTCAGGACAACTGACCTGTTTTTTTCACCACATCAGCTGCAAGAAGAAAAATAAAGGAGAGGGTGTTTCGAACTACCTATCAAAGAAGACATTTTGGGGGGTGCCGGGCGCTGCGGCTCACACCTGTAATCCCAGCACTTTGGGAAGCCAAGGCGGGTAGATCACCTGAGGTCAGGAGTTTGGGACCAGCCTGGCCAACATGGCGAAACCCCATCTCTACTAAAAATACAAAAATCAGCTAGGCATGGTGGTGTGCACCTGTAATCCCAGCTACTCAGGAGGCTGAGGCAGGAGAATCGCTTGAACCTGGGAGGCGGAGGTTGCAGTGAGCCAAGATCCCGCCACTGCACTCCAGCCTGGGTGACAGAGCGAGACTCTGTCTCAAAAAAAAAAAAAAAAAAAAGGCCGGGTGAGGTGGCTCACGCCTGTAATCACAGCACTGTGGGAGGCTGAGGCGGGCGGATCACCTGAGGTCGGGAGTTCAAGACCAGCCTGGCCAACATGGAGAAACCCTGTCTCTACTAAAAAATACAAAATTAGCCAGGCGTGGTGGCGCATGCCTGTAATCCAGCTACTCGGGAGGCTGAGGCAGGAGAATCGCTTGAACCCAGGAGGCGGAGGTTGCGGTGAGCCGAGATTGCGCCACTGCACTCTAGCCTGGGCAAAAGGAGCAAAACTCCGTCTCAAAAAAAAAAAAAAAAAGACATTTGGGGGATCTGGAAAATGTAAATGGCCTGGATATGAGGTAACACTAAGAAATGAGTTGATCATGGAATTGTATTATGTAAAGAATTATGTCCTTATTTTGTCAGGGAAACATACTGAACAACTTAGAGATGAGTGACACTGGCTCATCAGTCCAGGGACAGAAGAGGAACTACAGGGTGGCCTCATAGTTTAGGGCTGGGCCTGTGGAGGGCATGATCTCAAGGTCCCTCTGGTGCCAAGCTGCTCTGGGAGCAGATGTGGCCTCACCTCGCTCCCCACTTCTCAATGTGGGCAAAGTCCACCCAGGCCCAAGCCCTGCCTCATGGGCAGGGTGTTCACAGTTTGGGTACCACCAGGAGCCCCCTTTGGCCAATGGACCAGGCCAGCAACCCCCTCTTGGAGGTGAGCTTCCAGGCCCCAGCCCAGGGTGCAGGAAGTGGAGCTACACCCATTCACCTCTGGCCAGGGCCACTGTGGGGTCAGTTGCCTCAGCCCTGGAAAGCTCAGCTTGTCCCCAGGGAACTTGGTCTTGGAGAGCAGCCTGCCGTAACCGCCCCCCGACTACAGCTGCCCCCAAAGCTGTGAACTCAGAGTATATGACAAATGGCCAAGCACAAGAGTGTGAGGCCCTCCTATCCTGCAGAGGCTGCTCCAGCCACACCTCTGCAGCCAGGAGGCAGTGACAGCCCAGTGTCCTCAAGGTCCCCCCATCTCCCAGGATGCTTCCTGAAGGCTCTGGTTAAACTGCACCAGTGGCTGGTGAGCAAAGGCTGCAGGCCCTTTTCACAAAACACTCTGAACTGGTCCATGCAGGGCACCCTCCCTGTCTTCCTCCCAACCTACTGCCTGACCGTCCCCCCGCCCTGCCTTTGCCCAGGTCATCCCTTCAGCCAGGAACAATCCCGTCCCTCCCAGCCACACCTTCGACAGGGTCTCAGCCCCAACATTTCTTTTTTAAGGATGCACACCCTGCAAATCCCAGGACAGGACTACAGCTCTTTTTGGAATCCCCTTTCTCATGTCTGGGATCATTTGATATCCCTCTTCCTCACCTTACAAGGGTAGTGACTGTGTTTTTGTCAAACCCTGTGTCCCCGGCACTCAGCGCAGCACCAGACAGGGAGGAGCTGTGTTTGGTTTATGTTTGTTGAATGAATGACCACATCACATTTGCTTGGAGGGCCTGGCCAAGGCCCGTACTTCAGCCCTAAATGATATGGTCAGGGCCAGTGACTGCACTGGGGGCTCTGAGGAAGCAGAACTCCCCACCCCACTCTTTTGCCTCACCCCTGCCCTGGGGGGCACTTCCCTCTCCCTGGCCCCCACCAAGTGGCCTCCCACTGGGACTCCTCAGGCCTTGCTGCAGTCAGCTGGTTACCTGTCCATGCCTGCTTTGAGAGGGACATGCCCCATGCCCACTGAGGGTAGGACCCACATCTCATGCAGTGCCAGTACTCAGTAAAGGGCAAACACTGAGGGCCTGTAACCCTCTGGATAGTGACAACATAGAGGCAGGAAGCAAGGGACTTCAGGAACCCAAAGGAAACTGGGAAAACCAAACCTCCTTTCTCAATGGAGAACCTGCTGGTCGCTGTCCTCGGGGAGCTAGACTCTTGTGCACACACAATTCCTCATCAGAAACAGGCAAAGAGGGCACTGGGCCTCCCCTGCTGCAGCTGTGTCCACAGAGAACAGCTAGGCCACCACACAACCCCAAGCCTGGCCCTGCCTCCAGCCTCCTCCTGTGCCAACCAAGGCCTCACCATGGCTCAATCCACATGGCCCCCAGAGGCAGCAGTCCTGGTTCAAATTCAGGATCTGCCCTTGCTAGCTGCATGGGTGAGTTCTTTCACTTCTCTGTCCCTGTTTCCTAATGTGTAACACAGGAATAAGCAGTGGCCTCTTCCTTCCAGGGTTTGCTGCAACTGTGCCTGAAGCTCTGTGACAATGCACCCCCCATCTCTGCAAAAGCAAACCCCCAAAGGCCTGGTTTCTAAAGCAACAGCAGTTTCAGCAGCACCGTCAGAGAGGCACTTCAGGCCAATCCTGGAGGAGCCAGGAGTGACCCTTAGAGTGGGCCCCAGGGACGTCAGCCTTCTTGGAAAACAGCTCAAGGGGTGAGGGGGCCTCCCTCCTCCTGCCTCCCCCTTCTCCCACTCCCAAAGCAGCCAGGTCCCTAGGGAGGGTCAGAGAACAGATGCTGGGAGTTTCCAGTCCCCCTAACCAGAGGGGGTCACAAGGAAGATGTGCAGAATGAACATCCTGGGAAACTGGGAAATGACTAGGGAGGAACATGGTGCCTCCCCGCCAGCAAAAAAAATTATACCCTTCCCCATGAGATGGAGTGTCAGCAAGCTTCCAGGCCCCAGCCCAGGGTGCAGGAAGAGGAGCTACACCCATTCACCTCTGGTCAGCATGCTCCCAACGTCTGAGACCTCATTTCTCATTCCTTCTTCAGTCCCCATTCTCATTGTGGTTCGAGGTCTTTCTCTCTGAGCCAGGAACTCCGCAACCTTCCACCCTCCCTACCTCTTCCTCTCCTACCCCAGCCTGGGGCTCAGTCCTGGCTCAAGCACTCAGTCCAGCAGAAGCACTGTGTAGCCTCCCATTAAAGCTCACGCCTGTGAAAAGAACAGCCATTGAGGCCTTGAGATGGGGCCACACTGACCCGCTGACTCTCAGGACTGGACACAGCAGAGGCCACACATACTCAGAACAAAGCCTGGAAAGGCAAGGCTGGAGGTCAGTAGTTGTGGCAGCTTCACATCAACTCAGCTTTAATGTGATTTAATTTCCTTCTCCCTCCAGTGGGCCAAAGGTGCAAAGATAAGTATGGCTGTTCTCTCTCCTTCTAACAGTGAGGTGCTGGGGGTGGGGGTGGGGGAATATGGAGAAGGGACCCTCACCACCCACACCTTCCTGCCTCCCCAACAAGTGCTGCCCTCCTCTGCCCAGCATTCTCCCCACTTTGCCCTCAGCTAGTGGGTGCTTAGCCTCCAGATAGCATGCCCCACCTAGGCCCTGCCCTGGGCCTGTGATCCAGAGGTCCCAAGAAGCAGAGGCCAGGCTGGATCCAGGGGGTCAGCCAAGGTGAGGGTGGGAGCACACAGGATTATCTCCCAGGGACAGGGCTGCTGCCTCGTAGCTCAGGATGGATAGAATGTGGGGGGATATCCAGCTACATTTTCCCTCCACAAAAGACCAGAATGGGAGAGGGATGGGGTGCTGCCCCGACTTTCTTCAACTCCCCGGAGCAGAAAAATGCCCTACCTCCACTTTCCAGTGCCAAGATTCAAGAAGAAAGGCAAGCGGAGACTTCCCTTTCTCAGTCCCTGCTTACTAATGGAAACACGGGTCCAGAACCTAAATCCAGTCCCTCCTCCTTCATACCACCGGGAGGGAGGTGCAGCCCAAGCCCCCGAGGCCCCAAGGGTCCAGGTGTAGGACCCTTTATCCTCTCCGGCAGCCATCCCTGTGGGTGTGGCACCCCCGCCACACCCCATTCTTGTCATCTCAGGGGGAGGGGGGAAATGTAATCGGACATCCCCCCCATCCAATCCATCCTGAGCTGCGAGGCGGCGGCTCTGTCCCTCGGAGATAATCCTGTGCACTCCCCACCTTCACTCACCTCGGCTGACGCAGGAGTCTCCGGAGCCCGCACTCCCAGACATCACTGCCCTCCTTCCTGAGGGTGCTGAGGCTCGGAGGCTCAGAGATGCTACTGGTCCAAGGTCATGCAGCGAGGCAGCGGCAATGAACAGGGTCGTGGGGAGGAGGGGGCGCTGACCCCATTACGCCCCCGCCCTCACTACCGCACTCATGCCCCCGGACAATCGCTTCGCGGAAAACACCCCAGCTGCACCAGCTAACGGTCACTGCGCCCCGGGAACCTGACATCACTCTAGTTCAGGTGCTGGGGAGTCCTCCAGGCCCGGCCCCGACAGCGGAGCCCCCCACCCCAGCCCTGCCATCACGGCCGCTGGGGTCCCAGGCACTGACTGCTCAGGACAGGGCCGGGACCGGGAGGGGACCTCGGCGAACGGGAAGGAACCGGGAGGCAGGGAGCAGAGGGGTGGCCTCACCTTGCGGGGTGCACCCCGGGGCCGGGGAGGGCAGGGACGACCACTGCAGCGGCGGCGGCTGCAGGAGCTCAACGCCGAGCACGAGGAAGGGAGCCCCGCGCCGCGGCCGCCCTCCCGTCGGCACGCCCCCGCCTCCGCCCATTGGTTGATCTGGGAGGGTGGGGCGAGGGACGCTCCGGACCAATGAGCGGGCTCCAAAGAACGGCCAACTGGCGAGGGCCGCCTACGTCACGTGCCAGGGTCGCCGAGGCAGCGCCCTGCTAGTCCGCGCCTGCCGGGCGAGCTCTCGCGAGGAAGACGGGCAGGCGGCCCAACTAGGCCAGGGGCCAGAACCGACCACTCGAAGAGGGAGAAGGAGGGCCTCGGATAGGCCCCGCCCCCGCTCCTTCTTCCGCCTGGGGGATAGCGCCTCTAGCCTTGAACCTTGCTTAGGACGCACCTCCCTTGGGCCCTTCGCTCTCGGGAGGGCTGTCGGGCGCGTCTCGGGGCTGGGTGGAGCTCCCGAAGGTGGCCTTTCTCCCTGGGCTTCCACGCCGGCTTCGGCCATCGATACGGGCCGTGTTGGTCTCGTTCAGGAGCTGAGGAACCCTCCATCACTCCTGTTTCGACCCCAGGGTTTGGACCTCTTCCCCTTCCACCCCATCCCCTGTCTCGAAAGAAGCAACCCCCGTGCGGGCCCGAGACGCGTCCCGGGTGCCTGGCCCGGCCTGGAGAAGCATCAGAACAAAGAAGGCACGCGGGCTGGGGGCTGGGAGAGCCTGTGACGCGCCCCCGGGGACCGCAGCCTCTGCTCCCGGTCTCCATGGAGGCGGTCGCCATGGCAGCGAGATGCGCCTCGCTCAGCACCGCGGGGTGGGATGTGGGCGCCTGCAATGAGCCGAGGAGCGAGAGGCGTGGCCCTCCGGTCTGCGGGGGTTCTTGCCGGTGCTCTCCGCCCGCCGGTTCGCGAACACCCCACCTATACTTCGCCCGTGGGGACGGATTCCCCAAAGTGCCCTCAGTAAGCCGTCCGGAGCACGCAGCGCCTTGCTTCCAACGGAACTAGAGAGACGGCCTGGGCGGCCGAAGGCCAGCCTCCCTTCAGCAGGGCCGGGGTCGCTGCCTTAAAGGAGCCCTCAAGTCTGCCACCCTGTGGCCCATAACCTGTCTGCTGATCTCCAGTCTGCACACTGTTGGCAAATTAATCTTTCTGAGCTCTTGTTTTCATCGCGTCCCTCTCCTGCTCCAAAGCCCTCTGGGACTGCCTCCAGTAGCGCTTCACAAACTTCAGCAGCACTTTGGGTGACTCATGTGCCCTCGCGTTTGAGAGACAGCGCTTACATTGAGAGCTTTTCACATTCTGATCTCAGCCCATCCACTCCTGCCCACTCTACCCACTCCCACCACACTACCTTTAGACCTTGTCTTGAAAGTCTAAAGTTGGCAGACGGTGGGCCCAAAGTGGCCCGTAGGTGTATTTTGTTTAGCTCACATGGGGCTTTTTAAAAGAAGTCCTTCCCCCTCCTGCCTCCTCCGCCTCTTTCTGGAATCAGGAATCTGGTTTCGTGGCTTTTGAAATATCAGAAGATCTGACAACATGGGCTCACTTTCCAGCCTGGCATTACAAGCCCCTTTAAGAGCACATAAATTTACCATAGTCCCCGCTAATCCCTGTTTCTCACGGTTAGTTACCTTCTGGGTCTGTGCAGACATTTGTGATCCCCTCCCCCTCATTATCCCACCTTCCAACCTGGAAGGCCCTCCCCGCTCTCTTCTCATAGCCAAAATTCAAGCCCTCTTCAACCAAGATAAGTTTTGCCTATTTATTTATTTATTTATTTTTGAGACAGAGTCTCACTCTGTCGCCCAGGCTTGAGTTCAGTGGTGCCATCTCGGCTGACTACAGCCTCCACCCCCTCCCCCGCCGGGTTCAAGCCATTCTCCTGCCTCAGCCTCCCAAGTAGCTGGGATTCTAGGTGCGCGCCACCACACCCAGGGCTAATTTTTGTATTTTTAGTGGAGACAGGGTTTCACCATGTTGGTCAGGTGGGTCTCAAACTCCTAGCCTCAAGTGATCTGCCTGCCTCAGCCTCCCAAAGTGCTGGGATTACAGGCATGAGCCACCGCGCCTGGCCCAAGCCTGCCTTTTTCAAAAGTCTTTCTAGCCAACTTCTCAAAACCATCTCTGGTGTGGGCTCTCTCAAACACAAACTGGCTGCTAACTGCACAGCCCGGGGTTATTTCCGAATTGTCAACTCCTTTCAGCAAACATTTACTGAATGTATCTGATGAGTAAGTTATTGTGCTAGGCTCTGTGGAGTGGAAGGCACTCACAGTTTAGTGTAGGAGGGACACCACACACAAAGAACTGTGGTCTCCTGTCCTTGCCAAATGTTCCTCACACTCCCAGGCATCGGGCAGTCTGGCCCACTGGGAGGAGCTGAAATACAGAGCTGCCCATGCCTAGGGATACTACATGCTCTCAGGGAAGGCCAAAGATGGTTCTGGAAAGCCTCCAGGAGAAAATTAGACTCTTTGTGTCAGGAGGAAGTCAGGGCAGGAGTTACCTGGCTGCCCCATCACTGCCCAATGTGTCTGTGTTACCACACGAGTAGTGCCCAGGCTCTGGGGCTTCCTGTGCGGAGGGCCTTACCAAAGATAGATGGCTCTGCAAGGGAAACCACAGGCCCCTACCAGGCCCCCTGGAGACAGAGGCAGGACAAGAAGAATCAGGAACAACTCCAGGTTAGGAGAACAGATGGAGCACGTATAAAACATCCACTCACGGCCGGGCGTGGTGGCTCACGCCTGTAATCCCAGCACTTTGGGAGGCTGAGATGGGCGGATCATGAGGTCAGGAGATCAAGACCATCCTGGCTAACACGGTGAAACCCCGTCTCTACTAAAAATACAAAAAATTAGCCGGGCATGGTGGCTGATGCCTGTAGTCCCAGCTACTCGGGAGGCTGAGGCAGGAGAATGGCGTGAACCCGGGAGGCGGAGCTTGCAGTGAGCCGAGATTGCGCCACTGCACTCCAGCTTGGGCGACTGAGCCAGACTCCATCTCCAAAAAAAAAAAAAAAAAAATCCACTCACCATGAGAACCTGGTGACTTTTAAAAAAAAACAAAAAAACACAACACTTGCTACAACTCCAAACACACGGTTTTTTGTTTTTTTTTTTATTTTTCAGAGACAGGGTCTCACTATGTTGCCCAGGCTGGTCTCAAACTCTTGGCCTCAAGCGATCCCCCGACCTTGGGCTCCTAATGTGCTGGGACCAGACCAGAGGCACAAGCCACTGTGCCCAGCCCTCTATTCTTTTTAATTAAAAATTAAACAACTATAACCTCATTGGAAAACTGCTTGGCAGTACCTAATAAAAATGATAAATGAAATGAGTAATTCCACTTTTTTTTTTTTTTTGAGACAGAGTCTTACTCTGTCACCCAGGCTGGAATGCAGTGGTGCGATCTCAGCTCTCTACAACCTCTGCCTCCTGGGCTCAAGCACTCCTCCCACCTCAGCCTCCCCAGTAGCCAGGACTACAGGCACATGCCACCACACCCAGCTAATTTTTGTATTTTTTTTTTTTTTTTGAGATTACAGGCATGTGCCACCACGCCGGCTAATTTTGTATTTTTAGTAGAGACGGGTTTCTCCATGTTGGTCACGCTAGTCTCGAACTCCCAACCTCAGGTAAACTGCCTGCCTCAGCCTCCCAAAGTGCTGGGATTACAGGCATGAGCCACCGTGCCTGGCCAATTTTTTTGTATTTTTAATAGAGACGGGGTTTCACCATGTTGGCCAGGCTGGTCTCGAACTCCTGACCTCAGGTGACCGACCCACCTCAGACTCCCAAAGTGCTGGGATTACAAGCTTGAGCCACCATGCCCAGCCATGGCATGTGTTTAATTTTAAAAGAAACTGGCAAATTGTTTTCCAAAATGACTGTACTTACTTACACTCCCATTAGCAGAGTATAAGAGTTTCTGTTGCTTCACATCCTCATCAACATAAAAATTTGCAATTTTGTAAAAAACGCTACACCATGCTAACCAAACAAAGCAGGGCAACGGACTACCAGTCTTCAGCCTCTCCTCTGAGCCATGCCCTTGTAGAGGACAATTTCACAACAGCTATCAAGATTACAAATGCACACACAAAAAAAGAGAAAACACACACACACACACACACACACACACAGCCAACATGGTGAAACCCCATCTCTACTAAAAATACAAAAAATTAGCTGGGCGTGGTGGCAGGTGCCTGTAATGCCAGCTACCCAGGAGGTTGAGGCAGGAGAATCGCTTGAACCCGGGAGGCAGAGGATGCAGTGAGGCAAGATAGTGTCATTGCACTCCAGCCTGGGCCACAGCGCGAGACTCTGACTCAAAAAAGAAAAAAGAGAGAGGAAAAAAAACACAACAAAGATTACAGATGCATATATTCTTTGATCTAGGAACCCCAGTTCTGGAATTTATCATTTAGATATACTTCCCCATGATACTAAATCATGAGTGTATGAGGTTATTTATTGTTGCATTCTTGTGATAGCAAAAGATTGGAAATAACTCAAATGTCCATAAATAGAAGACTTCTTAAATAAATTTGGTACAGACAATATAATGTTATATGGCTTTAAAAAGAAAAAAAAAAAAGAGGAAGTTTTCAATGTCCTCCCAAGTAGCCAGGATTACAGGCGTGAGCCACCATGCCGGGATAATTTTTGTATTTTTAGTAGAGATGGGGTTTTGCCATGTTATACAAGCTGGTCTCGAACTCCTGGCCTCAAGCGATCCACCCACCTCAGCCTCCCAAAATGCTAGGATTACAGGCATGAGCTACCGTGCCCAGCCTGCTAAGGAAAGATTTTGTATTAGCTAGGATTCTCCAGAGAAACAGAACTAGGAAAGAGGGCAGATAGGAAAGACTGACATATTATAAGGAATTGACTCACACAATTATGGAGTCTGACCAGTCCCAAGAGCTGCAGGTTGGGTTGGCAAGTTGGAGACCCAGGAGAGCCAATGGTTTAGTTCCAGTCTGAGTCCCAATGCCTGAGAGCCAGGAAAGTCAATGATGTATCTCCAGTCCAAAGGGCAGCAGGTTTGAGACCAAGGAAGAATCAATGTTTCAGTTTGATCCCAAAGGCGAGAAAAAAGCTGATGTTCCAGTTCAAAGACCACCAGGCAATAAAAATTCTCTCTTATTTGGGGAGGGCCAGCCTTTTTCTTCTATTTAGGTCTCAACTGACTGGATGTGGCCCACTCACATTAGAGAGGGAAATCTGTTTCACTCATCTGCTGATTTCTTTCTTTTTTCCTTTTGTTTTTGAAATGGATTCTCACTCTGTTGCCCAGGCTGGAGTGCCGTGGCATGATCTTGGTTCCCTGCAACCTCCACCTCCCGGGTTCAAGCGATTCTCCTGCCTCAGCTTCCTGAGTAGCTGGGGTTACAGGCAATCACCACCACGCCCGGCTAATTTTTGTATTTTTAGTAGAGACGGGGTTTCGCCATGTTGACCAGGCTGGTCTTGAATGCCTGACCTCAGGTGATTAGCCCGCCTCGGCCTCCCAAAGTGCTGGGATTACAGGCGTGAGCCACCGTGCCCGGCCTCATCTGCTGATTTAAATGTTAACCTTAGCCGGGTGCGGTGGTTTACCCCTGTTTTCCCAGCACTTTGGGAGGCCGAGGCGGGCGGCTCACTCGAGCTCAGGTGTTCGGGTCAACATGGTGAAACCTGCCTCTACTAAATACATAAAAATTAGCTGGGCATGGTGGCATGAGCCTGTAGTCCCAGCTACTCAGGAGGCCGAGGCACGAGAATCACTTGAACCCAGGAGGTGGAGGGTGCAGTTAACTGAAATTGTGCCACTACACTCCAGCCAGGGTGACAAAACAAGACTCTTCTCTCAAAAATAAGAGTAAGACAAATGTGCATGTTTGTTTATAGTCACATAAAGTCATTCCGGAAGGATACATAAAAACTAAAGATAGAGGTTCCCTATTAGAGATGTGCTGGGAATAAGAAGACTTTTCACTTTTTATGTGTTTTTTTTAAATCATATATATGTTTTATCTATTCAAAACATTAAGTAACAAAGTTTAAATACCCTTGCATGCCTTCCTCTCCTGTAGGGTTGTGAACACTGGAGGGAACAAATCATGTTTTATACTCACTTTTGTATTCCTGGTATTTAGTACATAGTAGGTACTCAATAAATAGAGGAAAGAACGAATGAATGAACCAGAAGATAGCAGATTTAGTGTCGGTTAGAGAGAGGAGAGGGGCCAGGCACAGTGGCTCACACATGTAATCCCAGCATTTTGGGAGGCTGAGGCAAGAGGCTCACTTGAACCTAGGAGTTGGAGACCAGCCTGGGTAACAAAGCGAAATCCTGTCTCTACAAAAAAAAAAAAAAAAAAAAAAAAAAAAAAAGCCCAGGAGCAGTGGCTCACACCTGTAATCCCAGCACTTTGGGAGGCCGAGGTGGGTGGATCACCTGAGGTTAGCAGTTCGAGACCAACTAGGCCAACATGGTGAAACACCATCTCTACTGAAGATACAAAAATTAGTTGGGCGTAGTGGCAGGTGCCTGTAATTCCAGCAACTCAGGAGGCTGAGGCAGGAGAATAGCTTGAACCTGGGAGGCAGAGGTTGCAGTGAGCCGAGATCATGCCGCTGCACTCCAGCCTGGATGACAGAGTGAGACATCTCATAAAAAAAAAAAATTAGCTGGATATGGTGGTATGCACCTGTCCTCCCACCTATTCTAGAGGCTGAGGTGTAAAGATTGCTTGAACTTGGGAGGCTGGGGTTGCAGTGAGCCAAGATTGTGCCACTGCACTCCAGCCTGGGCGACAGAGTAAAACCCTGTCTCTAAAAAAGAAGGGAGTTAGGGCTGGGTGCGGTGGCTCACGGCTGTAATCCCAGCACTTTAGGAGGCCGAGGCTGGTGGATCACCTGAGGTCAGGAGTTTGAGACCAGCCTGACCAATATGGTGGAACCCCGTCTCTACTAAAAATACAAAAAGTAGCCGGGTGTGGTGGCGTGTGCCTGTAATCCCAGCTACTTGGGAGGCTGAGACAGAGGAATCACTTGAACCAGGGAAGTGGAGAGTGCAGTGAGCCGAGATCATACCACTGCACTCCAGCCTGGGTGACAGAGCAATACTCTGTCTCAAAACAAAAAAAAAGAAAGAAAGAAAAATTTTTTAAAAATTAAATTAAAAATAAGGGAGTTATAATCTTATCTAATGTAATCACAAAAGTTGACATCCTATCACATTTGCTGTATTCTACTTATCAGAAGCAAGTCACTAAGTCCAGCCTACATTCAAGGAAAGGGTACACATGGGGGTGACGTCCAGGAGGCAGGGATTACTGGGAGCCACGTTAGGAGCTGTCTACTACAAGGAGGAAAAAGCAATGAAAGGATGAAATCTAGGATGGTGGTTATCTCTGAGTGGAAGCAAGGGGGAGAGATGCAAGAAGCACATGGCCGGTGAAAGTTATTTGTAATAATTCCATTCTTGGGGCAGGTGGTGGATTTATAGGTGTTCATAAGTGAGTTGATTATGGACAAATGGGGAGAGAGTGTCATGAACCAAGGATTATATTTAGTCCAATTCAGTAATATTTAAAATATTCAATAATAAATGAAATAAAAATTGCCAACTACTCCTGACCTTGTTCTGAGCCCCATCCATGCACTCCACCTGGTCTTAGTTTAACACTGGCTCCACCTGACCCTCCACTTGCCCCAAACTAACCGTTAGCCCTTCACACACACTGACCCTTGCTATAGCACCACGATCTCTCCATAGTCTGCAATAGGCCCCCGGAGTTCTATTCCCTGAAACTTTTATCCATGTAACCTCACCTGTAGGCTGCTATATGTAAAGATAGTAGGAATGGCTGATGGAGTGGCCCGAGGACCAGGAGACAGGGCAGGCTAACAGTTCTGCCTTAGCAGTAGCACTGTGGGCCCAGAAGACAGGTTTGATGGCTGGTATCACGACCTCACCTATTGGCCTCCTACATGGCAAAGGCTGGGCCAGGTCCTGATGGTTCTTCCTCTTTGAGGCTTCTGCTCCTGGTATCCAGATATAGCTAAGTCTGTCTCTGAGAAGTGCACCTCTGCCACAGCACCAGGCCTGTAACTCCCTTGTTGGTAATAGACTCTATCAACTCTCTCCTTTCCTGTCTTTGATGAAGTAAGCTACCATACTGGAGATGGCTATGTGTCAAGGAAATGAGAGTGGCTATTGGCCAACAATGAGTAAAACACTGAAGCTTTCAGTTTGACAGCCCACTAGGAAGTAAATTCAGTCAGCAACCAAGTAAGCCTGGAAGCCTGGATCCTTCCTCAGTTGTGCCTTCAGATGAGACTGCAGTTCTATTGGCCCTTTGCTTGCAGCCTTGTAGGAAACATTGAAGTGGAGGACCCAGCCAAGCCTGGCCTGGACTCTTGACCCACAGAAAATGTGAGATATAATAATAAGTATTTGTTGTTCTAAGCTGCTACATTGGTGATAATTTGCTACACAGTAAGAGATAATGTATACAGGTTCTTTTCATTTCTTTTGCTATTACAAAGAGTGTTTCTGTGGGCCAGGCATGGTGGCTCACGCCTGTAATCCCAGCACTTTTGGAGGCCAAGGCAGGTGGATCACTTGAGGTCAGGAGTTCGAGGCCAGCCTAGCCAACATGGTGAAACCTGTCTCTACCAAAAATATAAAAAATTAGCCAGATGTGGTGGCATGCACCTGTAATCTCACATACTTGAGAGGCTCAGGCAGGAGAATCGCTTGAACTCAGGAGGTGGAGGTTGCAGTGAGCCGAGATCGTGCAATTGCACTCCAGCCTGGACGACAGAGCAAGACTCCATTTTAAAAAAAACAAAACCAAACAAAAAGAGTGTTGCTATGAACGTTGTTGTAACATGTCTCCCAGAACACAGAACACAAGAGCCTAGGTTTCCCTTGGGTATGTGCTGGGTATATGCCTAGGAATGGAATTGTTAGATCTCAGGATGTTTGTTTTGTTTTGAGACAGAGTGTCCTTCTGTTGCCTAGGCTGGAGTGCAGTGGTGCGATCTTGGCTCACTGCAACCTCTGCCCCCCAGCTTCAAGCAATTCTCCTGCCTCAGCTTCCCAAGTAGCTGGGACTACAGGTGCCCGCCACCACGCCTGGCTAATTGTTCGTATTTTTAATAGAGATGGGTTTTCACCATTGGCCAGGCTGGTCTTGAACTCCTGGCCTCAAGTGACCCACCTGCCTTGGCCTCCCAAAGTGGTGGGATTACAGGCCTGAGCCACCATGCCCAGCTGGATCTCAGGATTTACAAATGTTCCACATTACTGGTAGTCAGAAAACCATTAAAGTTAGGGTCATGCCATGGCTGTAGTGTGTTGGCCAGGGTTGGGAGTAAAGCCTGGCCTCAATCCATGGAAGTTGGGATTGTCTGTGGGCAGGGTTGGAGTCGTACAGAGGGCCGAGTTAGGGGTCAGTCCTTACGTAGGGTTGAGGGTGAGTGTGTGGCCACATTTGGGAACAATTTGAAGTCTGGTTTGGGGTTGGGTTTGGACAAGGTTGGAGAACACTGTGAGGGTGGGTTTGGGGGTCAATCTAAGGCCAGGGTTAGAAGTTAGGCTGTCATCCTGTGCAAAACCTGACCCCTGGTGATATCATCAACCTACCAAGCTGTGGCCGCACAGGACCCAGCCACCCACAAGATGAGATCCACTCTGGGTCCAGAAAGCTCTTTCACTCAAGGCGGGGGTGGGGAGATGGAGGACAAGTGAAGAAGAAACTGGCTCCCCTCAGATGCAAAAAGAGAAGGCAGGCACAGGAAATAGAACACAACACTGACTTTAATGGGGCAGCCCTGAGCCGTAACCTTCAAACCTTCCGCCTCAGTACCCCGTGCGCGAGGAGGGAGGGGCGACTGCTACGGGCACATCGTCGATGTCCTCCCTACTCCTGGCGATCCCACGCCTCACCCCTTCCTCTCCAGCTGCTGCGGTCTCCGTCGCCGAGGTGGGTCCCAGGTAAGCTCCCAGGAGGGGCAGGGGAGCCCCTCAGCGGCCCGGGACAGATTCCCCCATGGCTGAGGGCATGGGGAACTAGCCTGGATGGAGACGCCGCCGTCCTCGGAGCTGGGCGGGGACCTGATTCTGGGGGTGTGGACAGAGCCAAGGGACCGCCCCCCAAGGCCCAGCGCCGGGAGATGCAAGGCCGGGCCCAAGGTGTTGGACACTGCTTTGGGGGACAGGCTAGGTCTCTGCACGTGGCTTCTGGGCTCTGGAAAGCGGTCCATTCTCCTGACCCGGATCTCCGGAGTGGTAGGAGGCGGCTCAGTCCCGGGCCTGCGCTCCTAGAGTTCCTGTCCCATCTCCTCCCACGCTCACCCATCCCAAGGAAGGAGGGCACTCGGGCCCCAGCAGGCTCGTGAGAGCAGCGGGCTCCGCCCTCCCAATGGTCTATCCATCGGTGGGTGGGTCCGGCGCGGCGTCGGGGCTCTGGCGGGTACCCGGGCGTCCCCGCGCGGCCCGGGCCGCCGCTCACCGCTGCTTACGCTCCGCCTGCTGGAGCCGCCGGGAGAGGTCTTCGATCCGCACATTCTTGAGCTGGAGCAGGTGCTCCAGGCGCCTTACCTTCATCTGCAGGACCTAAGCCGCACCGCGCAGGCGTCAAGCCTGGCGGTCTGCTCCCTCCTGCCCGGCCTCTGCTGGCCGCGAGCCCCCACCCGCAGCCTTCCTAGACCCCTCACCTGCACGGTCTCTTGAGAGGCCAACAGCTCCTGCTCCTTTTCAGCGATCTGGAGGACGAAGCTGGGGTCGCCCTGCAACGCCCGGTTATACGCTGGAGGCCGAGGCGCCGGCGGCCGGTCCCAGCTGGGGTGGGAAGCAGCTTAGCGGAGGCTTGGACCTCGGGCCCTACACTCACCCTTCCAGGGCCCTCGACCAGGCCTTCCCTTCTCCCCCTCTAGCCCCTTTCCTGCCTCCCGTCTCAGGCTCAGCGTACCGTGCCCCCCAACCCCAGCTGTGTGCAGAGATCACCAGCCTGGTGAAGTCTGGAACTCCCAGCTTCTTTACCTGAGCTGACCCCCTCCCTGGGGGTCCGGGACACCTTCACCTCGGGCCTTCTGGGATACACCTGAGACAAGGCAAGTGGAGGAATGACTGTGCTGGAGTCTCATTCTCCTGCTTCCCCCTCCCTACTTCCACTCTCACAAGTGACAGGAAGAAGGACAGAAGGAAAGCTCCAACCGGGAGGGAGAAATGGAAAAGGCCACCTTACCCACATCCATGTAGCCACTGCCATCCTGGGGAGCCAGCTCCTGAAAGAACCCCGGGGGTCCGCTGTAAGCCCGGGCTCAGTCATCCCCAAGGAGCCCCATGTCCCTTCCACGGGCCCCCAGGCCAGGCTCTATTAGCCAAGCACCCCTCCCCCACACTTATCACCCAGGCTGGCCTTTCTGTGGTCTGGGGAGCGCCCCCCACCCAGCCCCCAGAGCAGTGGGAGAAGCTGGAGCGGGGTGGCACCTGTAAGGAGCCGGCGCCCTGCTTCCTGCGCCTCTGCCTCTCCTCCAGGCGCTGCCTCAGCGGGATGAGCACCAGCTCCACCACGCCTGGGGCGCACTGCGCGATCTTGCGCATCACGTCATCCGGTACTGAAAAGTTCAGCCTCTTCAGTACCTTCCTGAGGGGTAGACATTGGGATAGCAGATTGGGTCCTGGGGAAATGAAGCGAGGGGATGGGGGAGAGGGAAGGGGGCATGGTGGTTGCTGTTCTGAGTGTACAGCCCTGGGGGAGTGAAAGCGCATCGCATCTGAGCTTCCTTGTGTGGGTGTTCCGAGGTTCCTTGCCTCCTTCCTAATAGAAGAGTCTCTTGATTTTGTAATCGGACGAATTCTGTCTGCGTTGACCCTCCCCACCCTGCCACCAAAACAGTCTCAGCCTGGGCAACCAAGACCATAGGAGATGATGGGGCTGCACAGGTATTCTGCTACCTGTTCAGATGACCCCAGTTGCTGAGCTTCTGCTGGAGAGAGTTGGCGGGGACATAATTGTGCATCTCCACCATCTTGGGGAAGTAAAACTTGATGACCTCTGCAACAAGGACTGAGGGAGAGGGGAGCAGACATGGAAAGTGGGGGCATGGGTAAGGAAGGAGGAGGTGAGAGAAGGTGGGGGTGGGAGAATCAGGCATGGCAGAGTGGTGGAACCCAATGGAGGGGTGGAGATGCGGAAAGGGGAAGGATAAGGAGGGAGACAAAGACATTAAGATTAGTGATAGGTAGAGGAGACTAAGTCTCCAGCATACCTCAGAGGAGCTGCATCCCTTCCCCACTAATTTAGGAATGGGAATACTGAGTCTCTGGTCCTCCAGTAGAGAATGAGTCAGCCAGTGCAGGGGCTCACACCTGTAATCCCAACACTTTGGGAGGCTGAGGCGGGTAGATCACCTGAGGCCAGGAGTTCGAGACCAGCCTGGCCAACATGGTGAAACCCCATCTCTACTAAAAATACAAAAGTTAGCCAGGTGTGGTGGTGCATGTAAACCCAGCTACTTGGGTGGCTGAGGCAGAAGAATCGCTTGAACTCAGGAGGTGGAGGTTGCAGTGAGCTGAGATCATGCCACTGCACTCCAGCCTGGGCGACAAGAGTGAGACTCTGTCTCAAAAAAAAAAAAAAAAAAAAAAGAGAATGAGTCTCCAAGAGAAGCTTTCAGGAGCCCAGGGAATTCACATGGATGCATGATGCACACACACACACACACACACACACACACACACACTCCAACACCAAAGTTCCAGGAGAGTAAAAGACTCACGTAAGCAGAGACACATGTGATAAGATCCCCCTACACATAGATACATAGGGCAGAATGTGTAGACACATAGAACAAACACATGCTAGACACACATAGGCACACATGTAGAACACACATAGACAGAAGCACAAAAAGCCACATATGCACACAGCCTCCCCAAATATACAGATACAGAGATGCATAGAAGTACTTGACATGAAAAGATGACAGATAAGTATTTCTGTCATTGAGATCCCAGGAGACATTCCTAGAAACACAAACACCTTCACAATCACAAAGAAACACATGCACACAAGACCCCCCCAAATACAAGACTAAACATGTCAACACATATGAACACACACATGCTCAGACTCCCAGAAGACATAGAACACATAGCAATGAGTGAGCACATACAGAAATGCATAAATACATATGCAGACACATATCTTAATCATTAATGTCCCTGGAGGGAGTTAGAGGCACCCCCCCCAACATGCACACAGGATAGAACATGTAGACATACATATATGGACACACATCGTTCACACACAGATGCAAATAGAAAACAAGCACACACATCTAAAATTTGAAGTCCCAGGAGGCAGATTCCTCCCCACTCCCACAAGCACACAAACACAAAGAGTTTGCACAGAGACCCGTTACACACGAACATACAGGACAGAACATGCAGACACACAAGGGCACACACCTCCATCGCTAAAGTCCCGGGAGAGGTTTCGCTTGGGCCGGGACAGAGGGATGTTGTCTACCCACAGGTACAGCTGGTGCAGCGCCTCCTCGTCCACGCTGCTCGCCATTGGCGTCCTCACGGCCTGGCCGCCCCAGCGGTGCCGGGTCCCGCCCCAGCCTCACGACCCTTCAGGCGCTTCCTTTCTCGCCACTGCAGAAGCCCATAACTGCCTCTGCCTGCCTAATCCAGAGACTCACGTCCCAGCTGGGAGCGGCCATATTGTTTTCTGAAACCATGGAAACCATTCCCGACTCTCCTGGGTACAAAGACTTCTGGGAGTTGTAGTTTTATCCCCTCCCCGCTACCTCCTCTCAGGCCCGAGCTTTGAAAAGGCGGTTAGCTGCCCTTGTCTTCTTCCCAAGAAAGCATCACTTCTGTGCCCACGCCACCTAGTGACCAGCCACTCATCCATTTTGGGACCAGCCAAAGCCAACCAGGACCCCAGAATTCCTGCATCTGCACCCCTAGGGTGGGGATCCCCCTTCTTGGCCCTTCAGCCCTTTAGTCCCAAGTGAAGGGAGCACTCCAGTGTTGGTCAGCTTTATTTGGGGGTGCGTTGTTGATAATCTGCCACCCAAATGGATTGCGTGATACAACTGCTTCCTGCTTCGTCCCTCTCCAAAAACTCTATGCTCATGGGGCCATTGCCACTCGCCCTTCCCAGCAGTGTTCTAGTGGGGTATTTAATAGGTAACCCAGACTCCCAGGGAGAACACCAGAGTTCAAGGCCAGTACCTTGGCAGGTCATTTAACTTCTTAACTCTATTTCCTCCTTTGTGAAATGACGATGGTTCTCACTTATTTGTCCCAAACCCCTCATCACCCGTCAATGAGCTATTCTTCCATGGATTAGAAATTCATTTCAGGCAGGGCACAGTGGCTCATGCCTGTAATCCCAGCACTTTGGGAGGCCGAGGCGGGCAGATCACCTGAGGTCAGGAGTTCGAGACCAGCCTGGCCAACATGGCTTTCGCCCCGTCTCTACTGAAAATACAAAAAAAAGTTAGCCATGTGTGGTGGTGGATGCCTGTAATCCCAGCCACTGAGGAGGCTGAGGCAAGAGAATCGCTTGAACCCGGGAGTCAAAGGTTGGTGAGCCAAGATCATGCTATTGCACTCCAGCCTAGGCGACAGAGCGGGACTCCATCTCAAAAAAAAAAAAAAAAGAAAGAAAAGAAAAGAAAGAAACAAATTCATTGCAGTACCCATAAGGGGGTTAGGAATATGGGTCCCTCCTTAGTGAAGAGGTACTTCTAGAGTCAGGATGAGAAGAGAGTTTGACTAACGGCATGGCCTTGGGCACCTGACCGGACCGCTGCCTGGTTTCTCATGGCTTTACCTACCTTATAGGGGCTTTGTGAGCATCTAAAGCATTTAGCACAGAGCAGGGGCCCTATTAGTATCAGCTGGTACTATCATTAATGAGACAGTCTCAGTTCCAGCAAGAACTGTTCTTTTTCGCAGGAGACAAATGGAAGTAATTCGTCTTGTTGGAACCTGCGGTGAGGTAGCTGGGTTAAACAGGAGCACCTGGGCAAGCAGGCAATGCTCCTCCTGCTCACTCGAGAGCAGGTGGGGCTTCCTTGTGGCCTTCTGGTCTCCAACTCCAGGGCTCGGATTTCGGGAGGGAAGGTGGTGGCAAGGGGGATCCCAACTACTTTTTGTTGTCACTTCAAAGCCCTCAAGGCCTGGAGGGGATTCCTGAATGCCAGAAGTAGAGGCCAAGAGTGGAAGTCACCCCCATTTCTTGTTTTAAAGTCATATATAGTGGTCTTGATTTTCCATAAGGGGCCATAACCAGGGCAGGCCAGGGACAAGAGATGAACTGGATACTCCCCCATTAACATTCCCAGTGTTGGAGAGGAGAAACTTGGTGGTAAAGGTGGGCCGGGGATGGGAAGGAAACACAGAAGTGATGTGCCAGCCTCAGGTGAGGTGGGAAAACCGGTTTGGGGCCCAGAGCTGCCAGCCATGCTCAAGCCCAGGCCCTCCCTTGGTTGGAACTGCTGGGGCCTGAGGGCCTCAGTGAGGAGGGGTAGGGAGGGAGGGGCTGGCTCTGAAAGGAAAAAGGGTAGGATCAGCAAAGGGACCTGACCTCACCTTTGTACTGGGGGCCCCCTGGAAGGCACTGCACAGGGAGTTACCAACCATCCTCTGCCTCTTGGGGGTGCAACCTGTTCCTAGCAATTTCACCTTCCTCCTGCCACTGTGCCTAGAGGTGGCCACCAGGCTTGGATATGCCAATCACTGAAAGGCCTAAAGGGCTCCCTCTTAAGGCACCAAAGGTAAACCAAAGGGTGACCTATATGCCCCTCCAAACTCCAATCTGGACCCCAGAAGCTGCCCCAACACTCCTTTCTTTCTGTCCTGACCCCACTCCTGCAAAGGCCTTCAAACCAGCCTCGGTAGGCCTAGTCCCCACGTGCATATTGATTTGCCCCCAGAGACTGATGGCTCCCTCCTGCCCCAGCCAAGTGACCCCAAGCTTGAGGTCTCCTCCTGCCCCTCTTCCGGTCAGGGCAACCCTCTCAACACTTGCCTCCATGTCCCACCAGAGCAAGGACCAAAGAGAGCCAGGACGAATAAGTCCCCCAAGACAGACGCAAGCCCAGACCATGAAGGATGCACCCTTGGCTGTTAAAACGTTCACCCCCACAAAAGGGGAGTGGACAGATTTATTGAAATCAAACTGGGAAAGGAGCAGCTGGACGGCTGGACTCTGGGCCCAGCCCCAGGCCCCTCTGCCCAGGATGGGGCCCTGCCAGAGAGGGAGGAGAGGCATGGGGCCTGCAGCTGCCCACAAGGAAGCGCCCTTGGTTACTTCCACGGTGGGGGGCCTCTTGGAAACCTCCAATCTGGAAAGAAAACCAAGGGCCAAAGTCACATGGACAGGGCCAGAGAAAGGGACTGGGGAGGTGGAAAGCAGGCAGAAGCAGGCTCAGGAGCCCGCAGTGAGTTAAACTGTGCTTCTCAAGGCGGCCTGGGGGGTGGGGGTGGGGGCTGCCAGCCTTGCAGGGGGCCTAGGCTGGACCTTCTTCTGGAGCCCTTCCCAGAATGGCTTTGGGGTCCCCCCACCAAAGACCTGACGTGGATGGCAGAGGGGAGAGGCACTCTCCGGCCGGGAACCTCCAGGGCCCATCCCTGGCTGCTGCTGTGGTTAGTCCACTGAGGGCACGGTGTGGTAGCACCGGACAGCTCCCCACCCGCCCCACCTGGTCCCCTGAGCCCAGGGCCAAATGGGGAGGAAAGAGGATTCTGAGAAAGAGGCAATAAGCAGGCAGTGAGGCTGACCTCAGCCCCGGGCCCGGCCGAGGTGACCGGGCCTGTTGCAGGACCAGGGGAAGCATTACTAAAGGATCTGGGGCTCTGCACTCTGGCTCCATGCACAGCGGGTGCCCAGAGAGTCCTCTGCCCTGGGGTGGTGCTGCCAATCTAGGTTGGGGGCACAGCTAGGTCCAGTGACTCAGCTTTGATGTCCAAGACCTCGAACTCCCGCCTGCCTGGCGTGGTTCTTCCTGGTCACATGAACCAGATCGTGTTCCAAGTGGAGGATGTGGCTCTGCACGCGGTCATCAATGGGGAAGGAGGTCAGGTACCTCTTGACCATGGCAAAGTAAGCCATGGCCTCCCCAAAGCTGGGTACAGGCACCTCATCACCATCCTCCTCATCATCATCGTCGTCTTCATCTTCATCATCCTCTTCCTCATCGTCCTCTTCCTCACTGTCTGAATCAGAGTCCTCCCCACCTTCCAGGAAATGCAGAGTAGGGCACTGGGCTTCCTCCTGGGCACCATAAGCCCCGAAGCTGCCACCGGCCTCCACTACTCCCTGGGCCCAGTCCTCAGCCTCCAAGCCCTCCGAGGAGCTCTCCTCATCTTCCTCCTCTTCTTCATCACTATCAACATCACCCTCCTCCTCCACCTCCTCTTCCTCCCCCAATTCCTCTCCTTCCCCCCCTTCCTCCTCCTCCTCCTCCCCTTCCTCCTCCTCTTCCTCTCCTTCACCCTCTTCCTCCTCCTCTTCTTCCTCCTCCTCCTCCTCTTCCTCTCCCTCACTCTTGAGGGAAGTGGTGATGGTGGCATTAGGGCCACCCCCAAAGCCAGCCTCACGAAAGCAGGCGGCTATGTCCGAAGGCTCCACTGCCTGCCAGGCGGCAGCCACAAAGTGCAGGGCCTCCGTGAGACCCAGCTGCAGGCCTGAGGGATCCTGGCCCTCTAGCGCGGCCATGGCCTTGAGCAGCATGGCCTGGCGGTAGTGGCCCTTCACCTGCTGGACCACTCCCCTCTCCAGCGGATGCACGGTGCCGGGAGGGAAGAAGGCCAGCTGCACATGCCGCAGGCCCGAGGTGTCCAAGGACTGGGCAGCCAAGCGGCCGGCCAACAGCAGGACCCGGCGAGACTCTGCAGCCATTCGGGTGTCCAAGGCCTTCAAGTACTTGGCCAGGGCCTGGGTGGTGACACCACCCTTGGAGTTGGCGGTGTAGTCGCAGGGCAGGCCGGCTTGGCCTGCGCGGGGCTTGGCCGACTTGCCGGCCACCAGCGGGGGCAGCTTCTCGCTGCCGTCGGCATTGGCGCATAGCAGGACGCTCAGGCGCTGGGTGGCTTGACGCGGCCGTCCGTCGCCTCCGCACAGCCCCGCGGCCTGGTCGGGCAGGAAGTCGTACCATAGACTGGTCTCGGTGGCGCTGAACACGTCCTGCGAGGCGTAGCCCTCGGCCACCGACGGCGGCTGCTCCTCCCGAGCGCGCCAACCAGTAGTGCTCCCGCCACTGCCCTCCGAGGGCACCGCGGCCGGACTGGCAGGCGCCGCCGGGGTGCGGGGGGCAGCGTTTCGCGCGCGGGCGCGGGCCACGCCGCTGCAGGACACCACGCCGTGGCGCCGGCGGAAGCGGTCCAGCCAGCCGTTGGAGGCGGTGAAGTCGTCCATGCCCAGCTCCTCGGCTATGCGCAGCGCCTTCTCCTTGAGGATGATGCCCTTGACCGGCAGGCCGGCGGCGCGGATCTGCTGGAACCAGGCGATGAGCAAGCCCTCGAGCTTGTCGTAGGGAGACAGCTTGTTGGTCTTGCGGCAGGTGGAGGCCACCCCGTACTTGCGCTCCGACGCCAGGATGGCGCGCTTGTTCTTCAGGATCGTGCTCAGCGTGGACGGCGGGATGTTGAAGCGCCGCGCGATCTCGCCCTTGCGCAGGTCCGGATTCTCCTCCACCTCCTGGATGATCCGTGACTTCTCCCGGAACGTCAGCTGTCGCCTCTTGGGGCCCATCCCGGCGCGCCCCCCGCCCCGGGGCCCGGCGCCGCCGCCGCCGCCCCGGGGCGGGGGGCCCGGGCCCGTGGCGGGGGGCACCTGGCGGCCTCTCCCGCGCGCCCCGCCCGAGACAAAGCGGCTCGCGGGCGCGGCGGCGGGGCGACGACCCGGCCGGGCCGGGGGCACCTCCGGGGACGCCGGCGGGCGCGTCGCCGGGCGGCGGGCGGCAGGCGACGGGCGCAGACGAGGGCGGGCGGCGCGGGCGCGGAAGGCAGGAAGTGCCGCGGCGCGGGGAGCTGGGAGCGCGGCGAGCGGGGCGGAGCGGGCGGAGCGGGATCTCGCGGGAAGCGCGGGGACGCCCGGCGCCTCCTCCCCGCCCTCCGCGCCCACCCCCTTCCCGCCGCCGGGACATACCGCGGGGGGGCGCTGCGGCCTGCTGGACCTGCCCGTGCTGCGGCCTCCGGCGACCCGGCAGCGACGCGGGCGGGGACGCGGTGCATCGCTACTGCGCCCGGCGGACAGCGACTTGCTGCTCAAAAAGAATAAGAACCAGGGTTTTTGTTTGTTTTTTTTTTTTTTAATTAAGGTAAAAATAACGCACTTTTTTTTTTGCGGAACCTGAAAAATTCAAGAAGTTGAAAAACGCTTTTCACGTCACCTGGAGAGATGCACAGGTAACATTTTGATACATTTCCTTCCAGTCTTTTCTCTAGATGCATGTCGTTTTCTTTTTAAAAATTTATTATATAAAACTGGCATCAGACTGTATAGACTGTATATCTGGCATCTCCTGCTGTTTTACCTGGCATCAAGTAGTGAGAATTTTGCCATATCGGTAAGTATCATTGCCAACACGCTTTTTAATGATTGTGTAGCATTCCAGCTATGAATGAACACTAGCGTATGTAACCTATTGTTACACACTTAAGTTATTTTTAAAATCAGCATTACAGTTGTAAATCTATTTGATGGTGCTAATGACATTTTTAAAGTTCTAGTAATCCCACAACCCATAGATAAACACTCATAACATCTTGGTGTGTCACTTTCTGGGCTTTTCCATGCATATAGCCATAAATGTATGTGTTTGCACTTACAGAAATAACATCATGTATATACATAAGTGTGAATCCCTGAAGCCTCCCTCTCCTGCAGCAAAACATTAAAATGCCAAGCTCTTAAAACAATGAATGTATAGCTGTGTTTTTAAAAATCTCTTAGGGCAGCACTAAGGGGAACTCCAGCATTGGCAGAGGGGAAGGCTGTGACCCAGGGGGACAGGCTGAGGACCTGGGGCTGGATGAAGCTGTGGGTGAGTGTAGACAAAGAAGAAAAGAGGACCAAGGACAGTGCCCTGGGTCCTCCAAGGTTAAGGGCTCAAGAAAGAGGCCAGGTGCAGTGGCTCACGTCTGTAATCCCAGCACTTTAGGAGGCCGAAGCAGGCGGGACCACTTGAGATCAGGAGTTCAAGACCAGCCTGGCCAATATAGTGAAACTCCGTCTCTACTAAAAATACAAAAAATTAGCCAAGTGTGGTGGCACTCACCTGTAGTCCCAGCTATTCGGGAGGCTGAGGCAGGAGAATCGCTTGAGCCTGGGAGGCAGAGGTTGCAGGGAGCCAAGATCATGCCACTGCACTCCAGCCTGGGCAAAAGAGTGAGACTCCATCTCAAAAAAAAAGAAAGAAAGAAAGAAAGAACCAAATAGAGACTCTTGAAGTGGAGGAGCCCCTGAAGCAGGAGAAAAACCAGGCTACTGTGGCATTCTGGAAGCCAAAGGAAGAAAGTGTAACTCACTGCTGTTTTAGTGCAAATTTCTGTTTTCGTATGTTTCTTGGCCATTTGAATCCTGTGAATTTTCTAGTCATATCCTTTGACCATGTGTTTGTCTTTTTCTTGACTTTTAGGAGCTCTTTACATGCTCTGAAGAAAAGATCTTGTTAAGTATGTTGCAAATGTTTTCTCCCTGTCTGCCACTTGTCTAAGTTAGTTTAGGGAATCTTTTGGATATGAGAAGTTTTTAATCTTCAACCTGTCAATTTTTTCCTTATTGCTTCGGGGTTTTGTGTCTTACTTAGAGAGGACTTCCCTATCCCTGAGATATAAAAGATATTCTTTTAATCTCAAGGTCCAAAAGAACACGTGGGAGACTTTTCCAGAGCACTGCTTGGCCCAAGAGGAGTGTGTGGTCACTGGGCAAAAATGAATCTAAGATTACCTGGATGAGAACTCCTTGCCATGCATCTTTTCTTTCTTTCCTCTCTTTCATCCTTTTCCTTGTTTCTTTCCTTCCTTCCTTCCCTTCTTTCTTTCTCTTTCTCTCTTTTCCTTCCTTTCCTTCTTTCTTTCCTTCCTTCCTTCCCTTCTTTCTTTCTCTTTCTCTCTTTTCCTTCCTTTCCTTCTTTCTTTCCTTCCTTCCTTTCTCTTCCTTTCCTTTCCTTTCCTGTGGCCCCTCCTTAGTGCCATACAAAGGGCATTGGCACAATTACTTCTAGGACAGAAAAGCCACGCCCATCATATGCTGATGTCATAGCCATTTCCAGATACCTCGTCTACCCTTTGCCTGTAGCAGTGCACGGGGCCCATTTCCATCCCCTCTCAAGTGACCATTTCCCCCAGCAATCCATCTGAGGCCCCGGGCTTCCCCACCTCTTTCTGTAAGTCCCAGCTTTCTGCTTTTAGGACTGTTTGGGAAATCCATAACTCACCTTCTCTTCTTTTGGTCCAGCCTGCCCAGAGCTGTCCTTCAGGCCCCTCAGCAAGCTTTCCATTCTCCTTTTGTTTATTTGAGACAGGGTCTAGCTCTGTCACCCAGGACGGAGTACAGTTGCACGATCATAGTTCATTGCAGCCTCAGTCTCCTCAGTAGCTAGGACTACAGGCATGAGGCACCATGCCTGGCTAATTTTTAATTTTTTTTTTTGAGACGGAGTCTCACTGTGTTGCCCAGGCTGGGAGTGCAGTGGCGTGATCTCAGCTCACTGCAACCTCCTCCTCCCTGGTTCAAGCAATTCTCCTGCTTCAGCCTCCTGAGTAGCTGGGATCACAGGTGTACACCACCATACCTGGCTTAGTTTTGTATTTTTAGTACAGACAGGGTTTCACCATGTTGGCCAGGCTAGTCTCAAACTCCTGACCTCAAGTGATCTGCCTACCTTGGCCTCCCAAAGTACTAGGATTGCAGCCGTGAGCCACCTCACCCGGCCAAAAAATAATAATAAATAATAAAAATAAAGAGAACAACATTGGGCGCGGTGGCTCATGCCTGTAATCCCAGCACTTTGGGAGGCCGAGGTGGGCAGATTACGAGGTCAGGAGATCGAGATCATCCTGGCTAACACGGTGGAACCCCGTCTCTATTAAAAATACAAAAAATTAGCCGGGCATGGTGGCGGGCGCCTGTAGTCCGAGCTACTCAGGAGGCTGAGGCAGGAGAGTGGCGTGAACCCGGGAGGTGGAGCTTGCAGTGAGCGGAGATCGCGCCACTGCACTCCAGCCTGGGCGACAGAGCAAGACTCTGTCTCAAAAAAAAAAAAAATTAGCTAGGCATAGTGCCTTGCGCCTGTAGTCCTAGCTCCTAGGGAGGCTGGGGTGGGCCGGAGGATCACCTGAGCCCAGGAGCATGAGGCTGCAATGAACTATGATTGCACCACTGCATTACAGCTTGGGTAACAAACTTTGTTTTGAAAGAAAGGAGGAAAAAGAAAGAAGGAAAGAAGGAAGGAAAGAAAAGGCAGAGATTGCAGTGAGCCGAGATTACGGCACTGTACTCTAACCTGGGTGACAGAGTGAGACTCTGTCTCAAAAAAAAAAAAGGTTTTATTAAGATATATTTCAAGAAGCATACAATTCACCCATTTAAAGTGTACAGTTCACAGATGTGCTCAACTGTCACCACAGTCCATTTTGGAATTTTTTTTTTTTTTTTTTTTGAGACCAAGTCTCACTCTGTCGCCCAGGCTGGAGTGCAGTGGCTCAATCTCGGCTCACTTCAACTTCAACCTCCGCCTCCCAGGTTCAAGAAACTCTGTCTCAAAAAAAAAAAAAAAAGATTTGCTTAAAAGTTAACATCTCGGGCTGGGCACGGTGGCTCACGCCTGTAATCCCAGCATTTTGGGAGGCCGAGGCGGGTGGATCACGAGGTCACCCAGGCTAGAGTGCAATGGTGCAATGTCAGCTCACTGCAACCTCTGCCTCGTAGGTTCAGTCATTTCTCCTGCTCAGCCTCCCAAGTAGCTAGGATTATAGGCGCCAACTACTATACCTGGCTAATTTTTGTATTTTTAGTAGAGACAGGGTTTCACCATATTGGCCAGGCTGGTCTCAAACTCCTGACCTCAGGTGATCCACCTGCCTGGGCCTCCCAAAGTGCTGGGATTACAGGCGTGAGCCACCGCACCTGGCCTAATTTTTGTATTTTTTGTAGAGACAGAGTTTCACCATGTTGCCCAGGCTGGTCTCGAACTCCTGAGCTCAAGCGAGTCTTCCTCCTTAGCCTCCCAAAGTGCTGGGATTATAGGCATGAGCCACCACCCACACTTCTTTTACTCTAGGAAACTTGTTCAGAAGTCCATTTGCTATGATCTCAACATGTAGTCTTTCAATAATGAGCCCCTACCAAGCAGGCATCCCCACCTGACTGCCCGTTCTCCTTAAAGGTTGCATGTATTGCACAGTGCAAAGGAATCACCTCCCCTATTGAAGACAATAACTCAACGAACATACATCTGTGTGTACTTTTATCATCTCCTTAAGAGAAATGCTGAGAAGTGGGATATTAGGGTCAGGGGCCAACTTTGGTCTTGAACCAAAGTTCTGGGAGCAAGGTTCTGGGAGCCTGGGAGAGAGGTAAATGATTTAGTCCTTGTCCTTCAATAGTCCAGTCAGCTTGAGATGAGATTCAAGAAAGGGAAAAGGAGATTTCAATACTTAATGCTACTGGGTGTGGTGGCTCATGCCTGTAATCCCAGCACTTTTGGAGACTGAGGCTGGTGGATCGCTTAAGCCCAGGAGTTCAAGACCAGCCTGGGGAACATGACAAAACCCAGTCTCTCCAAAAAATACAAAAATGTGCCAAGCATAGTGGGATGCGCCTGTAGTCACAGCTACTTGGGAGGCTGAGGTGGGAGGATTGCTTGAACTCAGGAGACAGATGTTGCAGTGAGCCGAGATTTAACACTGCCCTCCAGCCTGGGTGACGGAGAGACTTGGACTCAAAACAAAAACAGAAAACAAACTAAATGCTGTGCCTCCCATCAGTTCCTCCCTAGGAATTCATCTTGTAGATAGCACACAGACACATAAGGGCATACTTACTGCATCGTTGTAAAAGCTAATATCCTAAATGTTCAGCATTAGGGGCTTGAGTAAATATATATTGTTATGGTACTAATATGGATCCATCTCCAAGTAAGAAGAAGAAAGGTATAGAACAGTGGTTTTTATTTTTATTTATTTATTTATTTTTGAGACAGAATCTCACTTTGTCACCCAGGCTGGAGTGCAGTGGCACGATCTTGGCTCACTGCAACCTCCGCCTCCTGGATTCAGGTGATTCTCCTGCCTCAGACTCCCAAGTAGCTGGGATTACAGGCACATGCCACCATGCCTGGCTAATTTTTGTATTTTTAGTAGAGACAGGGTTTCACCATGTTGCCCAGGCTGATCTTGAACTCCTGACTTCAGGTGATCCACCTACCTTGGCCTCCCAAAGTACTGGGATTACAGGTGTGAGCCAGCATGCCAGCCTAGAACAATGTTCATATGCTGTTTGTATATTCTTTAAAATACAGACGGATTTACGCTTGTAAAGATATAGACCTGCAGCCACTAACCCTAAGTGGCCATTGAACTATTAATTTATTTATTTTATGTTTAGAATCAAAGTCTCACTCTGTTGCCCAGGCTGGAGTGCAGTGGTGGAATTATGGCTCACTGCAGACTCAAACTCCTGGGCTCAAGCTATCCTCCTACCTCAGCCTCCAGAGTCACTTGGATTTTTTGTTTGTTTGTCTGTTTTTGAGACGGAGTCTTGCTCTTTTCGCCCAGGCTGGAGTGCAATGGCATGATCTAGGCTCACTGCAACCTCCGCCTCCCAGGTTCAAGCGATTCTCCTGCCTCAGCCTCCCGAGTAGCTGGGATTTCAGGTCGGTGCCACCAGGCCAAACTAATGTATGTATTTTTAGTAGAGACAGGTTTTCACCATGTCGGCCAGGCTGGTCTCAAACTCCTGACCTTGTGATCCACCTGCCTCGGCCTCCCAAAGTGCTGGGATTACAGGTGTGAGCCACCGTGCCCAGCGAGTCACTTGGATTATAGGCAGGGGCCACCACACCGGGCTAAGTTTTTAAAAAATGTTTTGTAGAGACAAGGTTTCACCATATTGCCCAGGCTGGTCTTGAATTACTAGCCTCAGGCAATTGTCCTGCAGCAGGCTCTGGAGTTGCTGGGATTATAGGTGTGAGCCACAGTGCCAGCACTATTGAGCCCTTTAAATGTTGCAAGTACAAATTGAGATGTGCTGGGGGTGTAAAATGCATACTAGTTTGAAGACTTGATATCCAAAAATGTAAAATATCTCATTAATTTATATTGATAACATGTCGAATAATATTTTGAATACATTACATTGAATAAAATATTACAGTAATTTCATGTTTCTTTTTTACTGTTTTAAATGTGGCTACTAGAATATTTTAAATTATGTATGTGGGCCAGGCGCAGTGGCTCACGCCTGTAATCCTAGCACTTTGGGAGGCCGAGGTGGGTGGATCACCTGAGGTCAGGAGTTCGAGACCAGCCTGGCCAATATGGCAAAACCCTGTCTCTACTGAAAATACAAAATTGGCCAGGAATGGTGGCGGGCACCTGTAATCCCAGGTACTCGAGAGGCTGAGGCAGGAAAATCGCTTGAACCCAGGAGGCAGAGGTTGCAGTGAGCCGAGATCATGCCACTGCACTCCAGCCTGGGCGACAGGGCGAGACTCCATCTCAAACAAACAAACAAAAAAACCCAGAACCCCTCTGTGGTCTTGCCCACCTCCCCCCTCACTGGCCCAGAGGTGACCTGACTGTGGGATTTCTGTTTTTTTTTTTTTGGTTTTAGAGAATTTTATTTTATTTTATTTTATTTTTTTATTTTATTATTATTATACTTTAAGTTTTAGGGTACATGTGCACAATGTGCAGGTTAGTTACATATGTATACATGTGCCATGCTGGTGTGCTACACCCATTAACTCGTCATTTAGCATTAGGTATATCTCCTAATGCTATCCCTCCCCCCTCCCCCCACCCCACAACAGTCCCCAGAGTGTGATGTTCCCCTTCCTGTGTCCATGTGTTCTCATTGTTCAATTCCCACCTATGAGTAGAATATGCGGTGTTTGGTTTTTTGTTCTTGCGATAGTTTACTGAGAATGATTATTTCCAATTTCATCCATGTCCCTACAAAGGACATGAACTCATCATTTTTTATGGCTGCATAGTATTCCATGGTGTATATGTGCCACATTTTCTTAATCCAGTCTATCATTGTTGGACATTTGGGTTGGTTCCAAGTCTTTGCTATTGTGAATAGTGCCGCAATAAACATACATGTGCATGTGTCTTTATAGCAGCATGATTTATAATCCTTTGGGTATATACCCAGTAATGGGATGGCTGGGTCAAATGGTATTTCTAGTTCTAGATCCCTGAGGAATCGCCACACTGACTTCCACAAGGGTTGAACTAGTTTACAGTCCCACCAGCGGTGTAAAAGTGTTCCTATTTCTCCACATCCTCTCCAGCACCTGTTGTTTCCTGACTTTTTAATGATTGCCATTCTAACTGGTGTGAGATGGTATCTCATTGTGGTTTTGATTTGCATTTCTCTGATGGCCAGTGATGATGAGCATTTTTTCATGTGTTTTTTGACTGTGGGATTTCAAGGGATTCAATAGTATAATGCCTGCCCTGCCACATACACCCTGTGCAGATGTATATTGGCTGGGTGGGGGGTGGGGGGGATACCTGTTGTGTTTATTTTGAAAATGCAAATCTCGGGGCAGTTTTTTTTTTCTGGTTTTTGGGCTGGGTGGCTTTACAAGGACACTTCCCCCTTCCCTCCTGGCACTAAGGGCAGTCACATCCTCACTGGAAGTAGTGGCTGGAGGTCCAGGGCATAACCCCTGACCCAGGGAGGATGAACCGGAAATTCAGTCTTGCAGAGCCCTCTGCACAGCACAGGAGCTGGGCAAAATTTGGAGAAAAGGAAAGGTCACGTTCCCACCTTGGCCACCCCTCTCAGGTGGGGCTGGGGTCTTCCCCTACCCTTCAGATGCATTGGCCCACCCAGCCCCCCATCACCAGGCCCTCCCTTTTGCCACCCCCATCCAATGCACCTTGGGTCTGGGTGGCTGGGACTGCACGAGAAGGGGTACTCCTGCCTTGCTGAGCTGCAGCCCGCCCCCCGCACCACCACCCGCCCAGCCAGAGGCCACTTCTAACCTGGGGAGACAGGATGCGAAAGCTGCTCACTACCCACCGGCTTTTGGGTGCAGCCTTCAGGCCTCTTGTTCCAGGAGGCCTGGAAAACGAGCGGGGCTGGAAGGCATTTAGATAATTGGAAGATGGGCCGGGCACAGTGGCTCGTGCGTGTAATCCCAGCACTTTGGGAGGCCTAGGTGGGTGGATCACGAGGTCAGGAGTTCGAGACCAGCCTGGCCAATATGGTGAAACCCCCGTCTCTACTAAAAATACAAACATTAGCTGGGCGTGGTGGCGCGCTCCTGTAGTCTCAGCTACTCGGGAGGCTGAGGCAGAAGAATCGCTGGAACCCGGGTGGCGGAGGTTGTAGTGAGCAGAGATGGCCACTGCACTCCAGCCGGGTTGACAGAGGGAGACTCCATCCCAAAAAAAACAAAACAAAACAAAAAGAAAGATAATTGGAAGCTGCTCCGCTTAAAACGAATGACAAATTCAGCCTCCCTGGTCTGGTCATCAAAGAAACACCAATTAAATAATATGGTGCCATTGGCACCAAGTTAGCCAAATCATCAATGGGCGTGATACTTAATTCGCCTCTCTGGTTGCTGACACCCTCCTCGACCCCCAGCCGCGGAAATCCATTCCTAGTTCCACCGTTTAGAGCCTCTCCTGGGGCTGCCGCGAAAATTGGGCCGGTTGGGGTAACATCTAACCTGGGGTCCCGCGAAAGAGCCCATCAGTTCCGCTTGGGGGCCCCACTGCCCTCCCACCTCCTACGCTGGGCGCTTCTCCTGCGAATGACGTTTTGCTGCTGCTCAGCGCAGCCAGTCGCGGAGGCGGGGAGGCTGCGCGGTCAGAGGCGCCTGGAGCGAGCGAATCCTGGCCCACCGCCTGCCCAACCGCGTGACCTTGATTGAGTTAATGAACTTCACGCCTCAGCGTCCAGGTCTGTAAAATGGGGTGTCTAACGCAGACCGTACAGCCCAGCTGGGTTTAGCAAACTTCCGGGAGCCAGTTGGAGCCTCTCCCCATCCCTAGCGGTGATCCCAGGTGACGACATGCCGCGGGGGGTCCTGCGGAGGCCACCCTAGGGCGTTGCTGCTGCCTTTGGGAGTGTGGAGCTCCAAACCATGTCGCGAGAGGCGGATTTTGGGAGGCCGGGATCCTCGCGCCAGGGGGATGTGCGAGGGTGTGGGATAAATCTTAATTCCTCCGGCCCACCCAAAGCCTGGAAATCCAGCCTCCGCGCCTCTTGCCCTGCGGGCCCCGCCCTCAGTCCCGCCCTCATCTAACCCGCTACCCCATTGGTGGCGTCCGGCGGCGCGGCTGCTGTTATTTTTCGAATATATAAGGAGGTGGAAGTGGCAGCTGCAACTAGAGGCTTCCCTGGCTGGTGCCTGAGCCCGGCGTCCCTCGCCCCCCGCCCTCCCCGCATCCCTCTCCTCCCTCGCGCCTGGCCCTGTGGCTCTTCCTCCCTCCCTCCTTCCCCCCCCCCCCACCCCTCGCCCGCTGCCTCCCTCGGCCCAGCCAGCTGTGCCGGCGTTTGTTGGCTGCCCTGCGCCCGGCCCTCCAGCCAGCCTTCTGCCGGCCCCGCCGCGATGGAGGTGCCCCAGCCGGAGCCCGCGCCAGGCTCGGCTCTCAGTCCAGCAGGCGTGTGCGGTGGCGCCCAGCGTCCGGGCCACCTCCCGGGCCTCCTGCTGGGATCTCATGGCCTCCTGGGGTCCCCGGTGCGGGCGGCCGCTTCCTCGCCGGTCACCACCCTCACCCAGACCATGCACGACCTCGCCGGGCTCGGCAGGTAGGACACCCCAAGGAGGCTGCATATGGGGGTGAGAGGCTAGGTCTGGAGTCCTGGGCCTCCTGGAGAACTGGGCATGGTAGTCGAATCCAGGAGGTGGAGTCCGGGGAGGCATCCTGAGCAGTGGAGAGGTACGCCCTTGTTCCCTCCTAGGGGCCCAGGACATGGGAAGTGAGACCTGGGCTGTGCCCCCCACACCTCCAGGTGACCTGCTCTCAGTCTGCACAAGCCTCTCCAAATCTTCTTTCCCCTCACTCCCTCCTCCCTCATTGTGCCTCCACCACGCTGCCTCCGTAATCTCTGCCCGGATAGCCACCATTTTGCCCCAGGATGGGAATCTCAAGCCTGGAGAGGGAACTTAAGGGTGGCAGAGCCGTGGAGCACTCACACATCCATGCCCCTGCTCCCTCCACCCCAGTTCTGCCCCCAGAATTAAGACAATTAATTAAACACTGATCCTGCTCCCTAAGTCTGCAAGGGGAGAGCTGGGTTGTTCCAGTAGGAGAACCTGGTCTTGGTCCATCCTTCAGGAAGGGTCCTGGAAAGGTGGGGGTCTGACAGTTTAGGGGAAGGCTCTCTGGGGCGGCTCTGCTAGACCACCAACCCTTAGGCTGGCCTCCAGCCAGGCAGCCTTGCTCACACCCTGGGCTCACCTTGCCCTGCTCCTGAGAGGACCTTTCCTAAACCAGTCAACGAAGAGAAGACGCTTTAGGGCCTCTGTAGAATGAACCTTCCTTGACCTGAGAAGAGGGGGCCCTCAGGGCCATTGCTTTCCCGGTGTAGTGTTTCGCTCAGTTCTTTTCTCAGCAAGGGAGTGGGAACGTGGGCTAGCCAGGCCTTGAGCCCCACGTTTACCTTTCTCCTTTCCCGGGTCCCTGTTCCCTTCCCAGCGAAACCCCAAAGAGTCAGGTAGGGACCCTGCTCTTCCGCAGCCGCAGCCGCCTGACGCACCTATCCCTGTCTCGACGGGCATCCGAATCCTCCCTGTCGTCTGAATCCTCCGAATCTTCTGATGCAGGTGAGGCCCAGGGGAGCCTGGGGAGATCTGCCTGTGTCAGGAGAGTTTGTGGGGGCTGCCTGGGCCTCCCAATTTCCCTGCCGATCAAACTAACATCCTCCCCACAACCTGGTGGGCCCAGGAGCCTCTCCCCCACCCTCCACAGAAATGGGAGGAAGACACACCTCTTGTGGGGCTCACCACACCCAACGCGGACTGGCTGAGTGGATGAGAGGGTGGGGCCCTCTACGGAGATGAGATCTTACCTATGTAAAACCACGCTCCAGAGTTCCTAAACCACAACCCTACCTGGGAAGCACCCAGGGCTGAGAGTTGGTCTTTAAAACATTCTTAGCCTATAACCTCTTCTTTAAAAATCTGTTGTCTCTTCTAGAACAAATTATTTTAAACCAGTTCAAGAAAAATGCTTAGTGAGCATTGTGGTTTAAAGACGCATATGAAGGAATTTCCATAGTAAACAGGGAGTGGAGCCCTGTACCGTCTGGGGGACGATGTGTCAGCTCTCAGGGTCCATGGTTGGGTTTTTGTTTCATTTTCTAATGTGTCAAAGTCCAAACTAGAAACTGTTTTTTTTTTTTTTTTTTTTTTCATATTGGGACATGGTGGGGGAAAGAATACAGAAAGTGCCACTACTTTCAAACCAAGGTGCTCTGTCCCCTCAGGTCTCTGCATGGATTCCCCCAGCCCTATGGACCCCCACATGGCGGAGCAGACGTGAGTAGAGAAGGGAATGTGTACTTCCAAGCATTCAGCACCTGTCTTTAAGAATCCTAGTTCTACCATAAATTCACCCGGGAGGCCTGGGAAAGCAGACAGACCATGGGGTGGCTTCAGGATCCCCATGGCCGGGGGGCTCACTGACTTTCTCAGGCCTTGGCATTCTGCTCCCTGTCTCAGAGAAGGATCTGCTCTCATGGGAGCCAACCGAGTGTGGGCTCAGGGCCAGGGATAGTGGGGACAGTGGCCACTGGGAGAGCAGATACTAGACTACAGCCCATGTCTTGCAGGAATACAAGCCCAGCGTATGTCCCGTTTTTCTTTCTTGCCTATACCCATTTTTTTCTGTGAAATATTACAATTTAAAAATATGATCCAACTAATTCAAAACTTTAACTCACTCTAGGCCAAACAAAACACAGTTGCCTGCAGATTGATTTGGCTCTTGGCCGATCAGCAACCTCTGACTTCGATGACACTTTACCCTCTGGCCAGCCCTGGTCTAGGCCCTTTCTGCAAGGGAATGGAGAGAGAGTTGGTGGGCTCTGGCCTGGACAGACCATCCCCTTGGCTGTGGGCATGGGTGGTGTCTTCCAGAGCACAGCTGTTCCCATCCAGTTGTTAAAGCCCAAGCAGCGGGGCAGCTGCCAGCCATTAGTAGGGACAGCTGGGCATCTCTGGCCTGTGCTGGGGACTGTGGCTTTGGGTTTAGGATAGTGACTTGTCTTACCTCCCATTGCCTTTGATCAGACTGGGTTGGGCTGCAGATTGGTTCACAAACAGGAAATGGGGAGAGGATTGGGTGGGGTTGGGGGACTGCAGGTTGGTTTTGGTGGCAGCACAGAGCAATCTTGCCCTACCCCCAAGGCCCATGTGCAAGCCAATGAAATTGGTCATCCCTGATGCCAGGTTGGCTGGGCACAGCAGCCCCCCGGGGGGGCATCCCCCTCATACTTTATCCCTGAGTGGTTCCCTGCCCTGCACCTGCTCTGACAGTTATACAGAGTTTCTCAGAAGCTGTGTGTGTGTGTGTGTGTGTGTGTGTGTGTGTGTGTGTGTGCGCGCGCGCGCGTAGATGCACAAAAGCTCCGCGTGGCAGGTGGTCTCCTGTAACACGGCTGAGGGGGCGGGGCCTCAGAGGGAACATGTGTTGGAATTCCTTGCCTGCTGGCCTCTTCTAAGGCAGGAGGAGGGGGTGGGACAGAGGCTGGTCCTGGAAAATTCCATAGGAGGGAGGAGAGGATGTGAGCCTGCACGTTTGTCACTGGGGGTCTACTGTATCAGACTGGAGCTGACTGGGGGAGCCCTAAAGCAGGCCCCAGTCCTCAGAGGACCGGGAGCCAGGCCAGCTCCTCACAGGGGAGAGGAAGCCTAGCCTTGCTGTTGTCCAGGCCCTGGAGACACCCACATTGCTGGGTGCCCCTGGCCTATCATAGGATGGATGGATGCCTTTCCTGGCAGCCATATGGCCCCGCTGAGGTGATTTGCATACAGGTGGAAGGCCTGGTGCAGGCTGGCGAGACTGTTGCCTTGGTGACGCCTCCCTGACCCTGACCTGCCCCAGCTGTCTCTATCACTGCCATTCTCTGGGCTTTCTTTCATTCAGGGCAGCCTTTAAAATTCCAAGCTGCCTCTTATCTTCCCCCTCCCCAATACCTGGGCCCCCTGATGGTGGGCGTTCTTCCCACCCCACCCCTTCCACTGCCTTGAGCCTTGGCCCTTGTCTTTGCCCTTACTCCCCCCTGGACTGGGGGCCTGGTGCTGGGGTGGGTGATGGGTGCGGAGGGAGCATGGGTTGCATGGGACCCTTCTCTGTCCTAGGTTTGAACAGGCCATCCAGGCAGCCAGCCGGATCATTCGAAAGTAAGTGTTCCTGGGCCTCTTCCATCTACCACAAGCTTTCCCTTAGGACAGGGCTCCAGAAGGGCATGCTGCATGCTCTTGGTCCCTGCCCTGCCTCTCCCAGCTCTCACCTGTCCCCATTTCCTCCTGTAGCGAGCAGTTTGCCATCAGACGCTTCCAGTCTATGCCGGTGAGTGTCTTCGAGGCCTGACTGAGGCTTAGGCATGCTAGCCAGGCATGGGGTAGATGAGCAGGATGCATTCAGGGATCACCTCCCAGCTGGGTGTCCCCAGGCAGGCTGTAGGAGATGGGGTTTCAGAGGTAGGTAGGTAAGTGGGAGGAGCTGGAGGAGAGGTGGAGAAGGTAGGGCCTGGGCTCGTGCCGGAGGAATGCAGCCTTCATTCCTCTGCCTGCCGCCCTGCCTGGCTCTCTAGGTGAGGCTGCTGGGCCACAGCCCCGTGCTTCGGAACATCACCAACTCCCAGGCGCCCGACGGCCGGAGGAAGAGCGAGGCGGGCAGTGGAGCTGCCAGCAGCTCTGGGGAAGACAAGGAGAATGTGCGCTTCTGGAAGGCCGGGGTGGGAGCTCTCCGGGAAGAGGAGGGGGCATGCTGGGGTGGTTCCCTGGCATGTGAGGACCCTCCTCTCCCATCTTGGCTGCAGGATGGATTTGTCTTCAAGATGCCATGGAAGCCCACACATCCCAGCTCCACCCATGCTCTGGCAGAGTGGGCCAGCCGCAGGGAAGCCTTTGCCCAGAGACCCAGCTCGGCCCCCGACCTGATGGTACATCCAGAGAGCGGATCCCTGGGAGGGGCCTGGGGAGGCAGCCTCGGAGAAGAGGAGGGTGGCCCTGAACCCCCAGGCACTGGGAACTTTTCCTCAGGAGGATGGGGGCGGGAACTATCTCCACCTCTAAGTCTGTGTCTGTCTGTCATGTGGACAGTGTCTCAGTCCTGACCGGAAGATGGAAGTGGAGGAGCTCAGCCCCCTGGCCCTAGGTCGCTTCTCTCTGACCCCTGCAGAGGGGGATACTGAGGAAGATGATGGATTTGTGGACATCCTAGAGAGTGACTTAAAGGTAAACAGCCTTGTCCCACCAGGCCCCTACCTTCCTATCCCTGGGTTCGCCCAAAAGAAGAGAGCTCTGAGCCCTTGTGGCAGGACCATGATGTCATTCCAGTGTCAGAAGAAGAATCTGAGGTAACTGAGTCACAGCCTAACCTCTGGCCAATGAGAGAAGAACAGGTGGCTGGTGCCACAGTGGAGGGCGGTTTGGGAGGTAGGGGAGCTTCTCACCCCAACCTGGAGTTTGCCAGGGAAACAGGGAAGGCTGTGCTGGAGGATTCCGGGACTGGAGGGGTTTGGCCTATGCCTGTGGGTTGTGACCCTGTCCTTGCTAATCTGGCCTCAGGATGATGATGCAGTTCCCCCAGGCATGGAGAGTCTCATTAGTGCCCCACTGGTCAAGACCTTGGAAAAGGAAGAGGAAAAGGTGGGCCTCTGGGGTGGCCCCCTCCGAATTTGGAGGCATGGGGTCCATCCTACTCTCCAGTGGATTTGAGGGATGGGACGGGGCCTGGGCACCCTGATCCCTAACCTGCTGTCCCTGCCAGGACCTCGTCATGTACAGCAAGTGCCAGCGGCTCTTCCGCTCTCCGTCCATGCCCTGCAGCGTGATCCGGCCCATCCTCAAGAGGCTGGAGCGGCCCCAGGACAGGGACACGCCCGTGCAGAATAAGCGGAGGCGGAGCGTGACCCCTCCTGAGGAGCAGCAGGAGGCTGAGGAACCTGTGAGTGCCTTCCTCCTGGGGTTCACTTTGGCATGCACCTGGGCAGCCACCCCCTTGGCTAAGTTTGTGGCAGAGGGCAGGTGGCAGCCTGGGCATGGCAGAGAAAGGGGGTACCAGCCAGCCAGAGCACTGGGGGGCAGCCCCACCCTGACCCTGGCCTCCATCTGACTCACTTTCCAGAAAGCCCGCGTCCTCCGCTCAAAATCACTGTGTCACGATGAGATCGAGAACCTCCTGGACAGTGACCACCGAGAGCTGATTGGAGATTACTCTAAGGTACCTGCAGCAGCGAAGGGGGTACCTTGGGGGCTTGACCTCTTACTGACTAGGGGTCCTCTAGCCCAGGGGCTGCTTGGGTTCCTCCCTTTCTCCCCGGAGCCCCCCTTTTCTTTGTCCTTTGTATCTTTTCATCCTTTGTTCTCACATAGACTCCTCCCTCTGGCCCTCCTTGTCTCCTGACTCCACCTCAAGTCAGTCCAGGCATCTGTTGAGTCTCCGTCTTATTTCCAAGCTCATACCTAGCTTGGAACCCCCTCATGCCTCACCTTCGGGCTTGGCAGAGGGTAGGGAGCAGAGTGTGGAGTTCATCTCTTCCACTTCCCTTTTTCATTTCTCTTTCCCCTTGGAAGGTTGTTCCCTGGGTGTCAGACCCAAGAGGTGCCTCTCAGTTGCCATGGGAACCAGAACTGAATTTGAAGGCCAAAGCAGGTGTGGCCTCTGATTTTGGGAATGAAACTTCATTCTTTGAGGCTCCTGGTCTTACCAATTTAACTTTCTCCCCTCTCCCTCATCCCTTCCGTTCCCTTCAGGCCTTCCTCCTACAGACAGTAGACGGAAAGCACCAAGACCTCAAGTACATCTCACCAGAAACGGTAAACAGCGTTGCGTCATTTTCTAGGCAGATTTGGGACTGTAGCTCCATTGTTGACCTTCCCTGGGGACAGGCTAGGGCCACCTGCCAGCTGCCAGCCTGACCTGCCGGAACCAACCCCCATGACCTCCTACAGATGGTGGCCCTATTGACGGGCAAGTTCAGCAACATCGTGGATAAGTTTGTGATTGTAGACTGCAGATACCCCTATGAATATGAAGGCGGGCACATCAAGGTAAGATGGGGCAATGGGGAGAGGCCCTGAAGATCCCACCTGGTTTAGGTCCTTGCTTTGCCAAGAGGGTGAATGGGTGGAGGACGGGTGCCCCCTCTCATGGGGAGGGTTCCTACTAAGAGAAGGACAGCGACTGCACGGGGAGGGCCCTGACTCCTGGACCCGGGGCTGTGCCTGACCTCTGGCTCCTCTGACAGACTGCGGTGAACTTGCCCCTGGAACGCGACGCCGAGAGCTTCCTACTGAAGAGCCCCATCGCGCCCTGTAGCCTGGACAAGAGAGTCATCCTCATTTTCCACTGTGAATTCTCATCTGAGCGTGGGCCCCGCATGTGAGTCCCAGCTCCGCCCAGCCAGCTAGTGTCTGCCCTGGCCTTCCCTGCCCAGGCTCACAGGTGCTGGCACCATTGAGATGGCCAGGGGTGCAAGTCCAGGTCCTCCTCTGTCCCATCTGATGGCCTAGAGCTGACCTCAGCCCCACTTCACTGTGCATGGTACCCGCCTCCCATCTCCCTCACTGTCCTGCCTATCAAGCCTCATGTCCACCCCACATCCATTACTGCCACCCTCAGAAAATTTAGTTCCAAGTCTCTAGCGGTGTCTTTTCTCGAAATCTAAGGGCCGCGTGTCAGTCCCCAGTACACGGACCCTCCCCATGTTCAGTGCTGTTAGGTCTCCATTAGAACCTCTTCCATTGGCATCCACAGCACCTGGGCCTCCCTGGCTGAGCTCCTTCTGTCGCTATTCCTGTTCTGCCTGGCCATCTGTCCTCCCACCCCTGCCTCCTCCTGGGTTGCCACTGGTCCATATGACTGCTAGTGGCTCCCCAGCCTGGCCTCACCCATGTGGTGGGAATCTGCACCCAGACGCCCCTTACAGAGTCGCATCCCTGCGGCCCTCCCAACTTCTCCAGGCATCCCAGCATATGGCACCCACCTCCACCTGGGCACCGGGCCTGGGCACTGGCTTCAGTCTTGGGTCCTCCTCCTCCCTTCTCCCCACCACTGATCCTCACCAGGTCTTGTCCAGGAGTGGCCCGAATGGATCCCTTGAATTTGGCCCACTTGTCTCCTCTCCTGCTTCTCCTTTCCTGGTCCAGGCACAGATATCTCTAACAAAGATTGTGCAACTGCCTTCTAGAAACGGAGAGTTCATCCCCTTGATTTTACCTCCTTCCTTCCGCCTCCCCACCCTCTTCTGTAGCCAGAGTGACCTAAAAGTGTTCTTGTGGTTACATTCCTGTGCTCTAAAGCTTTCTGTGGCTCCCCAAGGCCCTCAAAGGAGGGGACGTGGGGGATAGGTCCCATGATGTACAAGCCACTGCATGCCCCACTCTGACCACACCCTGCCCATGACGCCCCAGGTGCCGTTTCATCAGGGAACGAGACCGTGCTGTCAACGACTACCCCAGCCTCTACTACCCTGAGATGTATATCCTGAAAGGCGGCTACAAGGAGTTCTTCCCTCAGCACCCGGTAGCGTGGGTGGGGAAGGCCACAGTCTCTGTGTGAGGGTTGGCTTGGCCAGGCTGGAGCCATGGGATGGGGGGTGGGAGGGTTGGGTCCCTGCCAAACTTACCCATTCCACTGCATTGACCCCTCCTGTCCTGCCCTAGAACTTCTGTGAACCCCAGGACTACCGGCCCATGAACCACGAGGCCTTCAAGGATGAGCTAAAGACCTTCCGCCTCAAGACTCGCAGCTGGGCTGGGGAGCGGAGCCGGCGGGAGCTCTGTAGCCGGCTGCAGGACCAGTGAGGGGCCTGCGCCAGTCCTGCTACCTCCCTTGCCTTTCGAGGCCTGAAGCCAGCTGCCCTATGGGCCTGCCGGGCTGAGGGCCTGCTGGAGGCCTCAGGTGCTGTCCATGGGAAAGATGGTGTGGGTGTCCTGCCTGTCTGCCCCAGCCCAGATTCCCCTGTGTCATCCCATCATTTTCCATATCCTGGTGCCCCCCACCCCTGGAAGAGCCCAGTCTGTTGAGTTAGTTAAGTTGGGTTAATACCAGCTTAAAGGCAGTATTTTGTGTCCTCCAGGAGCTTCTTGTTTCCTTGTTAGGGTTAACCCTTCATCTTCCTGTGTCCTGAAACGCTCCTTTGTGTGTGTGTCAGCTGAGGCTGGGGGAGAGCCGTGGTCCCTGAGGATGGGTCAGAGCTAAACTCCTTCCTGGCCTGAGAGTCAGCTCTCTGCCCTGTGTACTTCCCGGGCCAGGGCTGCCCCTAATCTCTGTAGGAACCGTGGTATGTCTGCCATGTTGCCCCTTTCTCTTTTCCCCTTTCCTGTCCCACCATACGAGCACCTCCAGCCTGAACAGAAGCTCTTACTCTTTCCTATTTCAGTGTTACCTGTGTGCTTGGTCTGTTTGACTTTACGCCCATCTCAGGACACTTCCGTAGACTGTTTAGGTTCCCCTGTCAAATATCAGTTACCCACTCGGTCCCAGTTTTGTTGCCCCAGAAAGGGATGTTATTATCCTTGGGGGCTCCCAGGGCAAGGGTTAAGGCCTGAATCATGAGCCTGCTGGAAGCCCAGCCCCTACTGCTGTGAACCCTGGGGCCTGACTGCTCAGAACTTGCTGCTGTCTTGTTGCGGATGGATGGAAGGTTGGATGGATGGGTGGATGGCCGTGGATGGCCGTGGATGCGCAGTGCCTTGCATACCCAAACCAGGTGGGAGCGTTTTGTTGAGCATGACAGCCTGCAGCAGGAATATATGTGTGCCTATTTGTGTGGACAAAAATATTTACACTTAGGGTTTGGAGCTATTCAAGAGGAAATGTCACAGAAGCAGCTAAACCAAGGACTGAGCACCCTCTGGATTCTGAATCTCAAGATGGGGGCAGGGCTGTGCTTGAAGGCCCTGCTGAGTCATCTGTTAGGGCCTTGGTTCAATAAAGCACTGAGCAAGTTGAGAAACCAGCATTGTGTCCTGTGGGGCCCTGGGCAAGACCCCAGAAGCCCGCCAATGGCGGGATTGGGGTAGGAGACAGGGTCAGCAAAGGCAGGAAGAGTTGCTGGAGAGGTGCCCTCATGCTCTTGTCCCTTCTTCTCCCAATGTCTTCCATCTCTTGGGTGACACTCCTGCCAGGACTTTGGATTCAACCCCTCCTTCCCCTCACCTGGCCTCCCAAGCACTTCTAGGCTTGCCCTTCCTAAACTCGGCACCAAAAGGCAAGAGTGACCTCATCACTCAAGGATCATCAGTGGCTCCCCATTGTCCTCAGGATAAACTTAAAGCCAGCTGCAGTGACTCACGCCTGTAATCCCAGCACTTTGGGAGGCTGAGGTGGGCAGATCACGAAGTCAGGAGTTCGAGACCAGCCTGGCCAATATGGTGAAACCCCATCTCTACTAAAAATACAAAAATTAGCCAGGCATGGTGGCACACACCTGTAGTCCCAGCTAACTGGGAGGCTGAGGCAGAAGAATTTCTTGAATCTGGGAGGCAGAGGTTGCAGTGAGCTGATATTGCGCCACTGCACTCCAGCCTGGGCAACAGAATGAGATTCCGTCTCAAAAAAAAAAGAAAAACTCCTGGCATGGCCTTTTGAGATTTGGGCCCTCGCCAGCCTCATTCCCTCAAGAAATTGGGAAAGGGCCAATCTGGGAGCCCAGGCCAAACCCAGATCTCTGAGGAAATCCTCCCTGAATACCACTGCAGGTGACCCTCCCCCCAGCCCCCCACACACAAATGGGAGCTGTGCGATGGGAGGGACTCCTTTATATCTGTATATATAAGATGCTGTCTTTGACACAGAGTGCACACACATGTCAGGCATGATTACCACTTTCTGGGACAGTTCATCTATGTTGTGAAGTAGGTGATGCAATGATTATCCACCCCGTTTTTCAGATGGGAAAATGGAGGCTATTTCCTATCAGAACAGAAAAAGGGGACTCCAGATCCCCATGCTGAGTCTAAAGGACACTTGTGCTATCTCTAGCTTGTTCTCTCAAGTTTCTTATGCCCAAGAGCTTGGTCTTCACTCCTGGTTCAGAGCCCTCTGCAAGGGCACAATAGGTGGGAGTTATTGGGGTGTGGTTTTGGTCTTGGGGCTGGGCTGTGCTCAGGGAGGGAAGGGACCTCAAGGGTTCAGAAGTCCCCTCCACCTAGCAGGCAGCGATAGAAAGGCAAATGTTTATTTGGTGAGAGGATTTGCCCAGAAAAGGGGAAACAGCTGTGCAGATCCCTGAGAAAGGGAGATGGAGGAGGGGAGAGGATGGGCCCCGGGCGCCATCATGCTGGCATGCCTGCTCCACCCTAAGTGCTTAGGGAGTCTTGTGAAGCCACCCTCCCTCCTGGTTTCACAGACGAAAGCAGCTTCAGAAGCTCACAGAAGGCACTCACTTGCCCCAGGGCACACACAAGATGTAAGCAGAGCAGCTATCCCAGCCTTCCCAGGAGTATCCCATCCCCCCTTACCTCCCATCTTAGTCCCAGAGCCCCCAGGCGGGTGGGGCTGGGCAGCCTCACTTCTGCTGTGAGCGTCCTCTTCCCACTCCGGGATCAGGCCACGTGATGAGGAGGAAACATGGGCTGAGTGTCTACAATGCCCAGGCTTTGTGCCAGGTGCTGATGTCCGTGGCCACATCTGTCCCCATTGTAACTCACCATCAGAGTCTTAGTTGCAGCCATGGGACAATTAGTATGCTCTAGACACTTTTAGATATAATGTCTCCTAAGCCCACCCAACAGGTATTCAGCTCATTTTGTGGGAGAGATGCGGGCATTGGTCAAGCCAGGAGACACCTCTTCCCCAAGAAAAGGCTCTGGTGCTGACATCTCTGCTGAGGAAGCAGGAGCCTGGGCCTGGGCCTGGGAAAGGGGGTGCTGTGGGCTTGCCTCTCAGTTTCTGACTCGGGACCCCCTCTGCCCTGGAAAGTTCAGGGGGATGGGGCAGAGGTGTCTCATCTCCCTTCCCCCCAGCAAGAGAAGCTATAACTTTCTTCCTGGATGTGCTAAAGGGAAGTGGATCAGGCAGGAAGGCAGTTTAAAATCCCAGGCTGCCAGCCAGTTTTAAAAGTTGTTTAGCTTTGGCCAGGGTGGGGCAGGAATTCCAGCCTGCAGGAGTTCCGAGCAGCCACGTGCTGCCAGCTCACATGGTTAGAGAGCTACATGAGGCTGGCGTAAGCACAGAGAGCCAGTTGGGGGAACAGTAGTGTCTGGAGGGAAGGGGGAAGAATCTTCATCCACTCCATTGTCTGAATTGTTCACCCGGTAACTTTTGCCATGACAATTTTACAAATTAAGGTTTTCTTTTAAAATTGAGGAATAATTGACATTTCATCAAGGGCACAGATCTTCAGCATGGAGCGTAGACCCAAGGGACCACCACAAAGCTCAAGATGTAGGACATCTCCATCAATTCAGGAGGCTCCCTCCGGGTTACCCCCACTCCAGAGGTAACTACTATTTTGACCTCTGTCACAGTAATTTAGTTTTATCTGTTCATGAGCTTCCTATAAATGAAATTATACAGTCAGTACTCTTTTGTCTGGCTTCTTTCACCCAGCACAATGATTTTGAGATTCATTATTTTGTCCTGTGTAGCAGGAGTTTGTTTCTTCTTCATTGCTGCATACTATTCCACTGTATGAATATACCCCTACTCTCTTTCTTCTTTTTTTTTTTTTTTTTTTGAGGTGGAGTTTTGCTCTTGTTGCCCAGGCTGGAGTGCAATGGCACGATCTCAGTCCACTGCAACCTCCGCCTTCCAGGTTCAAGCAATTCTCCTGCCTCAGCCTCCCAATTAGCTGGGATTCCAGGCCCCTGCCACCACACCCAGCTAATTTTTTTTTTTTTTTTGAGACGGAGTCTCACACTGTCGCCTGGGCTGGAGTGCAATGGCATGATCTCGGCTCACTGCAACCTCCAACTCCCGGATTCAAGCAATTCTCCTGCCTCAGCCTCCCAAGTACCTGAGATTATAGGCGCCCACCACCACACCCAGCTAATTTTTTGTATTTTTAGTAGAGATGGGGTTTCACAATGTTGGCCAGGCTGGTCTCGAACTCCTGACCTCATGATCCACTCACCTTGGCCTCCCAAAGTGTTGGGATTACGGGCGTGAGTTACCACGCGCTCTCTTTCTCTTATCTTTTAAAAAATATTTATTTATGGCCAGGCACGGTGGCTCACGCCTATAATCCCAGCATTTTGGGAGGCCAAGGCAGGCAGATCACCTAAAGTCAGGAGTTCGTGCCAGCCTGACCAACATGGTGATCCCTGTCTCTACTAAAATCAAATTAGCCGTGTGTGGTGGCGCACTTGTAATCCCAGCTACTTGGGAGGCTAAGACAGGAGATCACTTGAACCTGGAGGTGGAGGTGCAGTGAGCCGAGATCGCAGCATTGCACTCCAGCCTGGGCAACAAGAGTGAAACTCCTTCTCAAAAAAAAATATATATATATATATATATATATTATTTATTTACTTATTTTTATTTCTTTCAAGATAAGGTCTGGCTCTATTGCTTAGGCTGGAGTGTGGTGGCGTGATCTCAGCTCACTGCAACCTCCACCTTCCAGGCTCAAGCGATCCTCCCACTTCAGCCTCCCCAGTAGCTGGGACTATCAGTGCATGCCACCACAGCTAATATTTTTTGTGTTTTTTTTTTTTATAGAGATGAGGTTTCACCATGTTGCCCAGGCTGAATTTTTTTTTCTTTTTTCTTTTTTTCTTTTTTTTTTGAGACAGGGTCTCATTTTGTTGCTGAGGCTGGAGTGCGGTGGCACAAACGTGGCTCACTGCAGGCTTGACGTTCTGGGCTCAAGTGATCCTCCCATCTTGGCCTCCCGAGTAGCTGGGACCACAGGTACGTGCCACCACACTCAGCTAATTTTTCTTTTCCTTTTTTTTTTTTTTGTAGAGACAGGATCTTGCCGTGTTGTCCAGGCTGGACTTGAATTCCTGAGCTCAAGCAATCCTCCTGCCTTGGCCTCCCAAAGTGCTGGGATTACAGGCATGAGCCACTGCTCCTGGCTTGTTTCAAAATTAAAAAGAAAAACTTACATGCAGTAAAATTAAGTTTTCCCTTTTTTATTATATGTGCTGCCAAAGTTAGTGCTAAAATTTCCCCTTTTGAGTGTACAGTTCTGTGAGTTTGGGGAAATATATACAGTTGTGTAACCCCCACCACAGTTGTGATATAGAACATAATCATCCTATCCTCGATGGATTATTTGGGCCTGTTACAAACTGCTGGAAACATACCCAGGAGTGGAGTGCTGGGTTACCGTGTGTACATTTAACTTTAGTATTTTCCACATAGTTGTCCAAGGTCCTTGCACCACGTTACCTTCCCACCCACAGCGTCCCAGAGTTCTAGTGTTCCACATTCTCATCAAAATTGGTAAATGTTGCTGGGCGCGGTGGCTCACGCCTGTAATCCCAGCACTTTGGGAGGCCGAGGCGGGCAGATCACTTGATGCCAGGAATTCAAGACCAGCCTGGCCAACATGGTGAAACCCCATCTCTACTAAAAATACAAAAATTAGCCTGATGTGGTGGCGCACGCCTGTAGTCCTAGCTACTCAGGAGGCTGAGGCTCAAGAATCCCTTGAACCCAGGAGGGGAAGTTTGCAGTGAGCCGAGATTGCTCCACTGCACTCCAGCCTGGGCGACACAGTGAGACTCTGTCTCCAAACAAAACAAAAACAAAAACAAAAGGCCAGGCACGGTGGCTCACGCCTGTAATCCCAGCACTTTGGGAGGCCTAGGTGGGCAGGTCACCAGGTCAGGAGATCAAGACCATCCTGGCTAACACGGTGAAACCCCACCTCTACTAAAAAGACAAAAAAATAAATAGCTAGGCCTGGTGGTGGGCGCCTGTAGTCCCAGCTACTCGGGAGGCTGAGGCAGGAGAATGGCGTGAACCCAGGAGGCAGAGCTTGCAGTGAGCCGAGATCACGCCACTGCACTCTAGCCTGGGACACAGAGCGAGACTCTGTCTCAAAAAAAAAAAAAAAAAAGGTAAATGTTAATTTCACTCCCTTAACCAGAAAATGTGATTGCTGTATCTAGCAAAGAGATCTGTTAGCTGTCAAGTGCTGAACCCACATACCGGGATGTGGTGGTGGCAGGCATTTGGGTGTCGCAGACTCAGCCTGTTTTCCGACTCTCCTATGTTGAAAGATGAGGCTATATTAGTCTTAGTCTTGATTTGTTCTCAAGTCAGATTCTTCAAAAATCAAAGCGCCTCTTTGGAGTTCATTAGCTGTATGTTAATTGCCTTGAGTCCTTCTGCTGACAACAGCCCACAACCATCTAGAAAACATGATTTCTACAAAGTCTTGATCCTGGAATGGAGCACACAGCCCCTTCTCCCCAGGCCATGATACTGCTGGTGGTGCAGAACGGAGTTTAGACAAGGAGGTGCATGGCCGAGAGCAATCTGGAAACGATCAGAGAGGCCAGTTGCGTAATGATGGAGAAGCCGCTGTTTTGCAGCCACGAAAATCATGCCTGGAGAGAGAATGTTCCGGGATGTGAAATTATTCACAATCTATTGTTCAAAGAAGACAGTTGATTATGGGACGGAAGGTAAGAAGCGTTCCCACCCTCCCCACACAGGAGGAGTCTGTGTGGGTGCCAAGGGGCGCAGCGAGGGTTGCCTTGGCCCCACCCAGCGCTTACTGGCACGCAGAACCCTGGGAGGACTGCCAGGCTCTGAGTCAGCGGGGCCTGGGGCAGCAGGAAGGGAGGGGCCTCACGTGGCTGGGCCTCCTCTGCCTCGTGGGGCCTCCTGGCTCTCAGCCCTGCAGGCAGTGCGGCTGTTTGAAAGGACAAATCACACATGGCCTGGTCCTCCTGGGGCCCAGCCAAGACTATGTTCCTGAAGGATGGCTGAGGGGAGGGTGCCTCCTGGGTCGGGATTGGGAGCACTGGGGAAGGAGGTCATCCAAGCATAGGGCGGGGAGGGAGCTCTCAGGGTTGGGTCATGGAGGATGAGCAGGGATGGGTTTGCAGGGATGCTATGGCCTTCCAGAGCTCCAGGAGAAGAGAGCTAAGCCAGCCCTTGGGATGACTACAAGAGGACCGGGGGAGACAGGGAAACACAAGGGGAGTAGAAGGCTTCAGTAGAAGATTTCAGTAGAGGCTGAAATCTACTGATATGTACACCTCCAAGGACACATGTGTCACATCAGAATAGTTGCTGAATCCCACTGGGCCTCTATTTCCTCATGTGTAAAATGGGAATAATAAAGCTCCTACTTCACAGGGCTGTGGATTAGATCAAATGAGCTGATGTGTGCAAAGCACTCAGAACAGGGCCTGCTGATCGGGTGCAGTGGCTCATGCCTGGCATCCCAGTGCTTTGGGAGGCCAAGCTGAGAAGACCACTTAAAGCCAGGAGTTGGAGACCAGCCTGGGCAACATAGGAAGATTCTGTTTCAAAAAAGAACAAGGGCGGCCGGGCGTGGGGGCTCACGCCTGTAATCCCAGCTCTTTGGGAGGCCGAGGCGGGCGGATCACGAGGTCAGGAGATCGGGACCATCCTGGCTAACGCAGTGAAACGCCGTCTCTACTAAAAATACAAAAAAATTAGCCGGGCGTGGTGGTGGGCGCCTGTAGTCCCAGCTACTCAGGAGGCTGAGGCAGGAGAATGGCGTGAACCCAGGAGGCAGAGCTTGCAGTGAGCCAAGATCGTCCCACTGCACTCCAGCCTGGGCGACAGAGCAAGACTCTGTCTCAAAAAAAAAAAAAAAAAAAGAACAAGGACATCCACAGCAAGTGCCATACAAGAGGCTGCTATGGCCATTATTGCTTAGAGCCAATGTAGGGATTGACAGGAGATCAGAAAGGTTAAAAGGACATGCCTGAAAACATTTAATTAAAGGAGCCAGTCTGAAGGTTTCCTTTTCTTTCTGCACATGGACAAGATTCTAGGTGATGGGTCACAGGAGAAAAGCCCAGCTTGGCAGGTCGCAGTGGCTCCCACCGGTAACAGGGAGGCCAAAACGGGTGGATTGCTTGAGCCCAGGGGTTGGTGACCAGCCTGGGCAACAAAGCAACACCCTGTCTGTACAAAGAAATGATTTAAAAATTAGCTGGGTGTAGCACGTGCCTGTAATTCCAGCTACTTGGGAGGCTGAAGTGGGAGGATCACTGGAGCCCAGGAGTTCAGGCTGCTGAGCTAGGATTGCACCACTTTGCTTGCTCCAGCCTGGGCAATAGAGCAAGACCCTGTCTGTAACAAAATAAGCAAAGCCCAGCTGTGGTGTGTAGGAAGCAGCAGCCTATGCAGCAGTACAGGTAGCAGTTAGGAAGCTGCCAATGGAGGTTTGGTGGAGACAGAAGATGGGAGAGCTGTCTGAGTGCCCAATGGGAGGCTCCCAACACAGAGTGCTGCTGTGTCTGAGAGGGTCCAGGGAGGTAGAAGAAAGGAAGAGACAGACATTGCCCGACTTTGGCCTCCTTTATTCTAGGGCAGCCATAATCCACCGAATTTCAGTCCACCTTGATTTGCAGAAAAGCATATTCCCTTTTCTTCTTAGTTTCCTGCTTTGATCTTTGAGAAATGACTAAACACTCTTATCAGAGAGGCATTAAAAAATCCACTGCTGGCTGGGCACAGTGGCTCACGCCTATAATCCCAGCACTTTGGGAGGCCAAGGCGGACAGATCCCTTTAGTTCAGGAGTTTGAGACCAGCTGAGCAACACGGTGAAACCCCGTCTCTACAAAAAATACAAAAATTAGCCAGACGTAATGGCACGTGCCTGTGGTCCCAGCTACTCTGCTCTGAAGGCTGAGGTGCAAAGTTGGCTCAAGCCCAGGAAACAGAGGTTGCAGTGAGCCAAAATCACGCCATTGCACTCCAGCGTGGGCGACAGAGCAAGACCCTGTCTCAAAAAAAAAAAAAAAAAAAAAAAATTCCCACTGCCTGGGGCTAGCAGATTCTACCTAATTGCTCTCCCCACATCCAGAAGTAGGTGGTTGCTGGTCTAGCTTGAAGTCTCAGTTTCTGTAAAGATCATCAATGTGGCTGGGTATGGTGGTAAGTGCCTCTAGTCCCAGCTACTAGACAAAGTGAGGTAGGAGGATAGCTTGAGCCCAGGAGTTCAAAGCCGTAGGGCGCTATCATCATGATCATCATGTTTGTGAATAGCCACTACACTCCACCCTGGGCAACATAACAAGACTCCATCGCAAAAATAAATAAATAAATAAATAAATAAATAAATAAATAAATAAATAAATCACATCAATGAGTTTCCAGCTGGGCACCAGTGGAGCTCCAAAAGGCAAGCCCTGGCTGGGCGTGGTGGCTCACCTGTAATCCCAGCACTTTGGGAGGCCAAGGCTGGAGGATTACTTGAGGTCAGGAGTTTGAGACCAGCCTGGGCAACATAGCGAGACTTTGTCTCTGTAAATTTTTTTTTTTTTGAGACAGAGTCTCGGTCTGTCGCCCAGGCTGGAGTGCAGTGGCGCAATCTCGGCTCACTGCAAGCTCCGCCTCCCAGGTTCACACCATTCTTCTGCCTCAGCCTCCCAAGTAGCTGGGACTACAGGCGCCCGCCACCGCGCCCGGCTAAGTTTTTGTATTTTTAGTAGAGACGGGGTTTCACCGTGTTCTCGACCTCCTGACCTTGTAATCCGCCCGCCTCGGCCTCCCAAAGAGCTGGGATTACAGGCGTGAGCCACCGCGCCCGGCAAAATTTTTTTAAAACTAGCCAGGTGTTGTGGGGTGCAACTGTAGTCCCAGCTATTCAGGAGACTGAGGCAGGAATATTGCTTGAGTCCAGGAAGTTGAGGTTGCAGTGAGCCGGGACTGCGCCATTGCACTCCAGCCTAGGGGTCAGAAAGAGACCCTGCCTCAAAAAACAAACAAAAAGGCAAGCCAGGCTGCCTCTATTGTGGGGGCAGGCCCCACCCTATGTGAATAGAAAGTGGAAGGCAGGCGGGTGGGAAGGTGGGAAAGGGGCCAATGTGAGGAGGCAGGGAGTGGCTGTGGGCAACCCCCCAACTTGGAGGACCACTGAGAAAAGCAGGGTTGGGGGGTGTGGCGATGGGCGCCTCTGCCCACAGTCAGAGGGAGGGTAAGGGAAAGAACGAGGGAGACGTGGCCCCTCTAGGTAGGTGGGCTGGGTCACAAATCCAGCCACCTGTTGCCTTCAAGCTCCTCTAGGTTTTTTGTTTGTTTGTTTGTTTGTTTTTTTGGTAGTGCTTTATCTTTCTTCCTTTTCATTTTCTCTGGCACACACAAACACACAATCCCACATCTGCAGCCACTGGGTGCCCAGCTCTGCCACAAGCCCTGGGCTAACTCCTGTAAAAGCCTCACACATGGCTGGGCACAGTGGCTCATGCCTGTAATCCCAGCGATTTGGGGGGCCAAGGCGAGTGGATCACTTGAGGTCAGGAGTTCGAGACCAGCCTGGCCAACATGGTGAAACCCCATCTATACTAAAATTATAAAAATTAGCTGGGTGTGGTGGCAGGTGCCTGTAATCCCAGCTACTCAGGAGGCTAAGGCAGGAGAATTGCTTGAACCGGGGAGGCAGAGGTTGCAGTGAACCAAGATCACGCCATTGCACTCCAGCTTGGGTGACAGAGCAAGACTATCTAAAAAATAAAATAAAAAGCCTCACACACATGAACATGCACACACATGGCCGCAGCACACTCAGACTCTTCTGTTTCGTCTTCAGGGCAGGTCTGGCAACCACAGGATGTCCTGCTGGTCCCCCCTCACCTCTGAGCTGCCCCACCTGTTTTTTCTGGTGCTGATCAAGTCCTCTCTGATACCTTCCCCTGTCTGCCGCTGGATTAACGGTGGTCAACATTTATTGATGTATAGAGTGCCTACTAGGTGCCAGGCTCTACCCTGTCCACTTCACATGCTGCCTCACTTAGGAGGGCGTTAAGTTGCATGTAACAGAAACCCCACTCAGCGGTTTAACCACATAAATGTCTGTACACCTCACTCAACAAGTAGACTCTGCAGCATCTCTGGGGCCGAGGCTCCTTCCTGCCTCACTGTTCTCAGCACACAGCTTTTGGCCCTGGGGTCACAAAAAGTCAGAGAATGGCACTGAGTCTGCCCCCCTTATTTGGAAAACAATGACTTTCCTGAGGCCTCACCCAGGTGGCTCCTACAGTGCCCCACCGGCTGGGGAGGATGCAGATGCATTTCTGATTGGACTCATGTCCTCTAAATAAAGGAGGGCCAGGGGACCCTGAGTCTGGGAAGGCTGGCTTCTTTTCACCCTTTGTATTTGCTCTGATCTAGTCCTTATATCCAGAATGCCCTTCCTGCCATCTGCAGCTACTGAACTCCTACCTCTCCAGAAAGCCCAGTTCAGATGCTCCCTCCTCCACACAGTCTTGCCAGATTGCTCCTCCAGAGTCCTCCCCACTTCTGAATCTGTTGGCCATCTTGACTCCTACTTGCCTTGGCCATTGCACCTGTCTGCACAGAGCCTGATGGGAACTCTAAGCACCCAGAGGATTTTCCCAGCAGAATGAGTGGATGAGCACACAAATGAATGGTGTGTTCTCACTTTTAGGCCATCTCCATCCTTTGCGATCTTGTTCAAGTCCTCCCTCCACGTACAGTCCTCCCCCGACCTCTCTTACTTCCATGGTGGCTGCTCCAGGGAGCAGAGCTCATGTCCCCGGTGCCTTCCACTTGGCACCATGCTGTGAGACACTGGCCACATCAGGGAGCATCTCTGAGCCCACTTAGTTATCTGTTAAATGAAAGGCTATGCTCTAAATTTCTTCTCATGCTAAAAACCTCAACCCTGCCAGAATTCAAGCCTTGGGGCAGGGGAAGGATTCTATCACATTCCTTTTTTTTTTTTTTTTTTTGAGACGAGTCTCGCTCTGTCACCCAGGCTGGAGGGCAGTGGCGCGATCTCGGCTCACTGCAAGCTCCTCCTCCCGGGTTCACACCATTCTCCTGCCTCAGCCTTTCCGAGTAGCTGGGACTACAGGCGCCCGCCACCACGCCCGGCTAATTTTTTGTATTTTTAGTAGAGACGGGGTTTCACCGTGGTCTCGATCTCCTGACCTCGTGATCCACCCTCCTCGGCCTCCCAAAGTGCTGGGATTACAAGCGTGAGCCACTGCGCCCGGCTATCCCATTCTTATCTTCCAGTTTAAAGGCAGACTTCAAAGTAAAATCGTTTTAGTGGAATTGTCACAGCCATTGTTAAGGTTTTAATTGAATTTAGTATATAGAAAAGTGCATATATCTTAAGTGTCCAGCTTGGTTAATACTTACAAAGAGAATATACTCATGTAATCACCACCCAGATCAAGACTTGGAATGTGACCATCTCCTAAAGCTCCATGCCTCTCCAGTCATTGCCTCCCTGGGATAACCACCATTCTGACTTGTAACAGTGCAGCATGGCTTGCCTAGATTTGGACCTTTTATGTTAATGGAGTCACATGGCATGTACACTTCTGTGACTGGCTTCTTTCACTGAACATTGTGTCTGTGAGAGTCACTCATGTTGTGTATCAGTAGTTGTTCTTTTCCATTGCCCTATACTATTCCACTGTACGAGTATACCACAATTTATCCATCATTCCATAACTGATGGATATTTGGGTAGTTTCCAGTTTGGGACAATTAAGAGTAAAGATACTGGCCAGGGGCGGTGGCTCATGCCTGTAATCCCAGCACTTTGGGAGGCCAAGGCGGGCAGGAGTTCATGAGGCCAGGAGTTCGAGACCAGCCTGGCCAACATGGCGAAACCCCGTCTCTAATGAAAATACAAAAATTAGACAGACGTGGTGGCAGGTGCCTGTAACCCCAGCTACTCGGGAGGCTAAGGCAGGAGAATCGCTTGAATCCAGGAGGCAAAGGTTGCAGTGAGCCGAGATCGTGCCACTGCACTCCAGCCTGGGTGACAAGAGCAAGACTCCATCTCAAAAAAAAAAAAAAAAAAAAAAAAAGAGCAAAGATACTATGAATATTCTATTTGTGTCTTTTGGTGAACAACAGCCCTTATTTCACTCAGGTACACATCAAGAGTGGCGCTGCTGGGTCATGGAGCAGTGAGGTCAGCATGAGTAGCCACTGCTGGGCTTGCTGTTTTAGATGATGTCTGAGCTAGCAGGCATAGACATTCCCAATGTACCCAGAACAGACTCTCAGAAGCATGGGTTGGACCCAGGAGAGCCCAGTGGCCAAGGAAAAGGGATCTCCCAGGGCACACCCACAAGCAGCCTCCAGCAAAACCATCAAGCAAAACCCCCACTCCCAGTAGGCTGAGGAAGCCCTCCATGCTGTCACCTCCATCTGGGTCTCCCACTGTCCTCTGGGAGTAGTAGCTCAAGCCAGCCTCCCACAGCTGTCTCCTCCACACACCTCACATGAGGCCAGCCCTCTAGTGGTCAGAAACTTGGTGTTGACTCACTGCCTGAGGAGTGGACAGAGGCTGGGAAACTGTGTTCCAGATGCCAGGTGGCCCCCAGCAACCAGAGCCCTCTCCTTGCTAGCTCTCTGCTGTAATCAGCTGGCAGACACCAGCCCTGGCTGAGAGCAATAGGGACTGGGGACCAGGAGCTGTGCCAACATCACTCCCCAGCCTCGTAGCTGAGGCCCCACAGTCTCTGGGCTTGCCGCAACACCTGCACACACATTTACGTGTTGTCACATGCTTTGGCCAGGCCCTGGCCACCTGCAGCTTCCCTTCAGTCACCTCCTAACCTATCCTGGGTCCTATGGCTTAAGGGGCCCAGAGTGCACTTTCTCAGGGGGTGCTGGCTCTAGGATCCCTGCCTGGGCCACCCTACCCTGTTCTCCTTTCTTGTCACCAAAGAGCGTGTTCAAGCCGGCTCCAGTCCTGTGTTGTGCATGGCCCTGGGGAGTGGAGATGGAAGCCATCAGCACTATTGGTGAGACCTGATTCACAGGGGTGCAAAGGCCGCAGCTGAATGCCAACGGGCAGCCTGAGCAGGAAGGCTTCCTCCCATTTTGTCTGAGTATATATCTACAAGGTCAATTAAAAGGACAGGAAAGGCCAGGCGTGGAGACTCACGCCTGTAATCCTAGCAATTTGTGGGGGAGAAGCGGGAGGATCACTTGAGCCCAGAGTTCAAGACCAGCCTGGGCAATACAGTGAGACGCTAACTCTACAAAAAAATTTAAAGTAGCTGGATGTGTTGCCTGCCTATAGTCCCAGCTACTTGGGGGGCTGAGGTAGGAGCATTGCTGATGGGAGCGGGCAGCGAGGCTGCAAAAAAAAAAAAAAAAAAAAAAAAAGCCGGGAAAGGGAATTCTAGGCTGGGGGAACAGTCAGTGGGGGAGGCTCCGAGGCACATTTGGGGGACAAGGCTGAAGCCATTCACATGCCAAGAGGTAAAGGAGGTGCAGCTTCATGGTCGCGGTGGGGGTGGTAGTGGTGGTGGTGGCTGGAGGAACACATGCAAGTCAGGCAGTGAGGCCCAGGCAGGCCTTGTGGGGCCCCCAAACACCAATGGGCCAAGCCTCCAAGTTGGGGCTTTTACGTAAGGCTCTATAGGGGTTAGCGCCAGAGTGCCCCTTTCAGGTTTAAGGTATAAACCTCTTCCCTGTTGTTTTGATGGCCTCCAGTCAAGAAGGGGGCTTGCTGGTCAGCCCTACTAAGCGTTCGCCCTGGGCGACACTCTACAAGGTTTTACTGGGGCCCAATGAAATTGACAGATCTGCCAGGGACACACACTGAGAGTCCAGAAGCAGCGTTCGAATCGTTCTGCGCCGAACCGAGTGACAGCATTAAACCGCTGCAGGAACCCACAAATTCAGAATCTGCGCAAAATACACATATTTGTATTTAAAATCCGCGCAAAATACCCATGTGCCTAAATACACATATTTCCCTCCAAAGTCATAATTTCCGGGGGTACAGCCCAGGAATGTACATTTGAACTGGTGCCCCAGTGATTCTCACGCATGTTGGCTAGATAAGAACTCAGCCGCAGCCCGTAGCTGCGCGGCCCGGCCTAGGTCCACCCGCCGCCCGTCCCGGAGCCTCCTAAGGCCGCAGGCGACGCGCCCCGCCCTCCGGGGACAACTAGGCCCCGGCCTTTTCCGCAGACTCCGCGCTCCGAGCCGCGGCGCCCCCTCGCGGCCGCCGGGGTCGGCAGCCTGGGGCTCCGCTGATCTAGGGCAACGAGCGGGGGACGCTTCGAGCCCGCAGCGAGAGTGACCAGCATGGTCCCTGCCGGCAGCTCGGGGCCGGAGGGTTTTGACTGCAAGGCCAGCCCACGCCGAGGGTCCAAGCATCGGGATATGCCGCCAGCACCTGGCTGCTGCAGCACCGCGCTGGACATGAGCGCTCCGCCCAACCCGACGGCGTCAGCTGGCGCGCGCGCCCGCGACCGACGTGCGCAGGCGCCCACGGGCCGCGCAGCCGCCATTGCTCTCCTGCCACGGAGGGGAGCGCTTGGTGGCAGTCCGCGGGCCCGGACGGAAGGCTGAGGCGACGCCTCGACGACAGCGGACCGGAGCTGCAGGGGCAACACATTCAGGGCGGGGTGCCCCATTTAGGCCTGGCTGACCGGAGTAAGAAACTACAACCCCCGAAGTGCCTTGCGCCTCAAGGTTACGGAGGCAGTGACGTAAGCTGTCTTGACCGCTACCATTTCTCTAGTAGAGGCGGGACGCGGCGGCGCGGAGTGATGACGCGCTCTGCTGGCGGCTGGAGGGTTGCGGAGGTCAGCAATTGGGTGCTGGGCTCCGGTTCTCGAAGTGCCTTTGCGAACCTGCTATTTTACCAGTTTAAACTGACGGTCTGTTTAGCCTTAGCTACAGATACCCACTGACTGTGTACCCGCCGCCTTTCAACCCCCGGGCCGGCCACTGAGCCAGCCAGATAACCATTACTATTATTTAGTTTCTATTTTGAAACAGTTTCAGGTAACTCCTGTATGCACTTGGATGAGATTCACAAGTTGTAACCTCATTTGCCCCATTTACCTTATTATTTCCTCTGTTTTTCTCTCTGCCTTTTTTCTTCCCTGGACCAAGTGAGTTAGTTGCAGATATGAAATCCTGTTTCCTCTATATTTAGAGGCCCATCCGTGTTTATTTTCTAAAAACAAGGACGAGCTCCTGCATTCAAAATCGGGTAACATTGGTCAAGACTTTTTCTGACCCATAGTCCATATTGAAATGTTTTTAAAGTTTTTATTAGTGTCCTAATAATGCCCTTTATGGAAATTATCCTTTTGTTTTTCTTTCTTTTTTTTTGAGACAAGAGTTTCCCTCTGTCGCCCAGGCTGAAGTGCAGTGGTGCGATCTCGGCTCACTGCAGCCTCCCCTCCCGGGTTCAAGCGATTCTGTGGCTTCAGCCTCTCAAGTAGCTGGGGTTACAACCATGCGCCACCATGCCCGGCTAATTTATTTTTAGTAGAGATGAGGTTTCACCATGTTGGCAGGCTGGTCTGGAACTCCTGACCTCAAGTGATCCGCCCACCTAGACCTCCCAAGGTGCTGGGATTACAGGCGTGAGTCACCACACCTGGCCCAAATTACCCTTTTCTTGGTCCAGGACCCGATCCAGGAGTACACGTCGCATTCAGCTATCTGGTCTCTTCAGTCTCCTTCGGTCTGGAGCAGCTCCTCAGGTTTTCCATGACCGCATGACCTTGACGCTTTTGAAGATACCTGTTGTTTTGTAGAACTAGGTTTAGGGTGGTCTGAGATTTTTTTTGTTTGTTTGTTTGTTTTTCTTTTTTCTTTTTTTTTTTTTTTAGTTTATGCCTATTCTGCTTATGTATGTCTGAGATTTTTTATCACTGGATTCTGTTATGTGATGTTGTTCAGATGCTGTTATTCAAAGTGTTCAGCCTCACTGGCCTCTGGATACACTCCCAGACACTGCCAGGTCAGCCCCTTCCTGTGGTCGCCTCTCCTGCTGGGGTTCACTCTCACCTTACCAATGTCTCTGGCTTCCCTGTAGCACCCACCCTGGAGCCATGGTCCACGCCTTCCTCATTCACACCTTGAGGGCCCCGAATACTGAGGACACGGGCCTTTGCCGAGTGCTGTACTCCTGCGTCTTCGGTGCTGAGAAGTCACCTGATGACCCACGGCCGCATGGTGCCGAGAGGGACAGGCTTCTCCGGAAGGAACAGATTTTAGCTGTGGCCAGGTAACCACACAGCCCAGCCCCAGGCCTTCATTGAACACGTACCTGATTGTAATAGGTATTTTCGGGGAGTGGGGACGCAGAGAAATAGGAGGACTAAGAAGCAGAGAGGAAGTTTTAGAGTAGCATTTCCCAGAGAGTCTTCCACAGCTTTTCATAAGTGTTACGTGAAAAGGGTTAAATAAATAATAATTCTGTTATCATTATTAGTATAATTAGCATTTGTTCAGCCTGTAAGTGCTAAGCATTTATATTCTGAACATCTTATATATATTAACTCATTTAATCCTCATAATAGTCTTTTGAGGTAGGTATAGTTATTATCTCCACCTTATAGATGAGTAAACTGAGGTATAGAGTGTTTGAGGAATTTAACCTGTCCAAGGTTACATAGCTAGAAAGTAGCAGAACTAAGATTTGAGAGTAGGCAGGCAGACAGTACAGATTAAACATGCTTTTCAGTGCAGTACTTAACAGGGCCTTTAGTGTGCCTGTAGACTTTATGAATTTCTAACGAAGAGAGAGGATGTGGTACATGAGGACTCCAGAAAGCCAGGGATCCAGATCACAGTTTGGAATATACTGTTCCAGACTAGGGTGGCTAGCCTTGGCTCTTCCCCTCTCAGACCCAGCCAGAACTGGTAGGTGCTGGAGCCTCCTGGACCTCCGCATTCTGGGTGGGGTAGCACCACTCTGGGGCAACCTTCTGCCAACTCCTGCCTTTCCCTTGTTCTTCTTATTCTCCTTCCCCTCCCTGTAGCTCAGAAAACCAAATACATGCCTTTAAAACCAGCCTGTGCGTGGCTCAGACTGGAAGGTGATTCAGGAAAGATCAAAGGGAGCTTCTAAGAAGCCTTGTTGGTCCAATGGAAGGTCTTTCTTTCATATTTGGAGAGGGTTGCAGGATAGGGTGGAGATTGGACTGCCCACGTTGGGTGATGGCGTTTATTTTCTGCCTCATCCCTTTCCTTTTTTTGAGATGGAGTCTTGCTCTGTCGCCCAGGCTGGAGTGCAGTGGCGCAATCTTGGCTCACTGCAACCTCCGCCTCCTGGGTTCATGCCATTCTCCTGCCTCAGCCTCCCGAGTAGCTGGGACTACAGGCGCCCGCCACCACGCCTGGCTAATTTTTTTAAATATTTTTAGTAGAGACGGGGTTTCACTATGTTAGCCAGGATGGTCTCGATCTCCTGACCTCGTGATCCGCCCGCCTCGGCCTCCCAAAGTGCTGGGATTACAGGCTTGAGCCACCGCGCCTGGCCAAGCCGCTTCCCTTTCCTTTATGTGGAGAAGGCCTCTGTGAAGCAGGTGAGGGCAGGATCTTCTTCCTCTGGTGCCCTTTTTCAGCCCAAGGAGCTGGGTTGAAAACCTGCCCTCTTGGCCACATGGAATAAAGTGGTTCAGGACCTGGAGGCTCACACTTCCTGATTCTGTGGCCCTGGGCAGATCACTTAGTCTCTCTAGGCCTCAGTTTTCTCACTTGAGATATGGGGATGATGGTAGCTCCCAGCACCAGGGTTGATCATGAGGATGACAGAGTTGGTGTGTGAGCCCACCAGCCTGACCTGCCCACTCTCCCCAGGCAGGTAGAGTCAATGTGTCGGCTGCAGCAGCAGGCATCTGGCCGGCCCCCCATGGACCTGCAGCCGCAATCCTCAGATGAGCAAGTGCCGCTGCACGAGGCCCCACGTGGGGCTTTCCGCCTGGCAGCAGAGAACCCTTTCCAGGAGCCACGGACGGTGGTGTGGCTGGGCGTGCTCTCGTTAGGCTTTGCCCTGGTGCTGGATGCCCATGAGAACCTGCTACTGGCTGAGGGCACGCTCCGGCTGCTGACACGCCTCCTCCTTGACCACCTCCGGCTGCTGGCGCCCAGCACCAGCCTTCTGCTGCGGGCTGACCGCATTGAGGGCATCCTCACCCGCTTCCTGCCACATGGTCAGCTGCTTTTCCTCAACGACCAGTTTGTCCAAGGCCTGGAGAAGGAATTCAGTGCCGCTTGGCCCCGCTGATTCCTCGTTGGGATGGTGCTTCTGAGGGCAGGCAGAGGGTAGACACACAGCCAGATGAAGCTTGGCATCTCCCTCCTACCCAGCAGCTCTGATGTGCTGCTATACCAGGACAAGTGGGTGACACAAGCCTGCAGAAAGGGGGCTGGGCAGAGGGTGGAGGAGGTCCTGCCTGTCCTCAGGTTAGTGGAACCACAGAACTTCCTGAGCCTAGAGCTGCTGTGTTACTTAGACCGCTGCCGTGCGGCAGCCACGCTTGTCCTTGAACCCACCTTCCTCCATCCCTGCCAGCCGATAGTGCTAGGGTGAGGAGCTGCCTGGAGCTCACCCCGCTCTTCTTCCAAACCCACAGTCAAGGCCAGGCGCGGTGGCTCACGCCTGTAATCCCAGCACTTTGCGGGGCTGAGGTGGTTGGACCACCTCAGGTCGGGAGTTCAAGACCAGCCTGGCCAACATAGTGAAACCCCATCTCTACTAAAAATACAAAAATTAGCTGGGTGTATGGCGCCCACCTGTAATCCTAGCTGCTCAGGGGGCTGAGTCATGGGAATCACTTGAACCTGGGAGGCAGAGTTTGCAGTGAGCCGAGAGTGCGCCACTTCACTCCAGCCTGGGCAACAGAGTGAGACTCCATCTCAAAAAAAAAAAAAAAATCCCACAGTCATCGAAACACAAAAGGGGTCTCAGACTCCCCTGAGGGTGGAGGAGCTGTGCCTGCATGCTGGCAGGCCACAGCCCCTGGCTTTGTGCCCACTTAGGCAGTATTATCAACAAGGTCCTGCTCAGTGTCCAGCCCCCGCTGAGTTCAGAAATGCATCTGCCAATCAGCAGCAGGATTCTGCAGCTCCTTTTGTGCCAAGCCCGTTCCCACCAGGCAGGCTCGAGATAAAGTCATCACAGCCTTCCCTCATCTGCAGGGAGAGAAGTTGCTGTCAGATGAATGTGAGCAGTCTAGCCTGGATGACATATTTTTCGTTTTGAATTAAAAGCACTGGCTGTGTGATTTTACCCTCTTTCTGTGAGTTTGATGCGTGCATCCTGCTCCTATGAGTGAGTGCCTCTCTGGATGGCCCCAAAGCTGCGTGTCTGAGCTTTCGTGGTCAAGGATCCCCCTAGGAGGCTTCTTGGGATGCCTCCATCTCTCATCCCCACCTCACCTCTGTCTCCTTAGAGGCCTCCTTTGGATGGTGGCACACATTTCTCCACCAAAGTATATGTCACAGGTGGCAGGTGGCTGTGGCAGAGCCGTCTGAGAAGCAGTGCTTGGGCTGAGAATTGGTGCGAGTGGTTTATGTGGGGTGGGCGGTGATCCCGGGAAGCAGGAAGGGGACACAGTCCTCGTGAATGCTTGTCAAGCCTATTAGGACTGTGGTAGGGAGCTGAGTGCCTCTAGGGGGCTGCACACAGCAGTTGCCTCTGAATTACCTCACCTGAGAGGTGGCGGCTGTGGGTGTTTGCCTACTGCCTTTAGTCAGTGGTTACAGGTTGATCCCAGGGTGCATACATTCCCTGGCTCTTTCTGCCCCTGAGAAAAAGCCTTCAGGCAATGTGGAGCTGGGCCTGCCTGCACCATGTTGAGTCCCAAAGGGATATGGGTGGGGTACCAAAAGTCGGTGGTTAGGAGGTCTTCAATCAGCAGCTTCTAGTGAAGGTTTAAACTTACTCAGTTGGGGGCGGGGGGTGGGGGAAAAACCACTTCAGTTTACATTGATTTTCATGATCTTCCTGTTACCAAGGAAGGTGAGGCTTTCTTGGCAGAACGAGCCTCCTAGGTGCTCAGCTCTCATGCTTGCCATCCATCAGTTGCCCTTTAGCATCCAGGATGGACCCAACTACACCCACTTTGGAGGCAGCACTGATGATTAGCCCTTCCAAGTCCATGGCCAAGGCCACCAGCCATGCCAGGCCTTCTACCACCACTGTCAACATAATTGGGATGAGGCCACCTTTTCCATTTTATGGTGCCACAAACCACCTTGACCATGAAGACCTAAAGGGATGTTACTCTGTGTGTGTGGCCAAGTCCCACCAGTGGAAATGTCCCACAGGCCTCTAGTAGGGACACCCCTTCCCTATACATTCTGTTCTCCTGGCCCACCCCTCACCCCAGGCTGGCGGTCCTGGTGGATTGGCTGTGTTCTCAGGGAACAGGCCATTTTGTCCTCTATGGAAAGGCTCAAGCTTACTGATCTGAATTCTTTCTGCCTTTTTTTCAAACGGAACTTAAGGAAGAGGTTGAGACTCTGCTCCCCTGGGAGCTGTGGGAAGTTGAGGTTAGGCGTGGCTGGTGGCCTGGTTCTCATGAGGTGGGGCAAACTGATGGACAAGAGAATAGTAGAGACTGAGACCACACCGTGGGGCTGCTGAGCTCCAGTTCCTGTCCAGCTGGACCAGGGTTTTCTTAACCAGATGAGCTTGCCCAGCACCCTTCCCACACTTCACACTTCTGCCCCAGCCTCTTGGGCTGGGTTTCCACCACAATTTATGCTCACCATATATTTATCGAGCCTCCCTTGGGCCTGATGCTCTGCTGGGTGCAATGCAGGATACAGAATGACCCCAAAGTTCCAGGAGAGACAGAGCTAAGGCCAGGTGACTGCAGATGACTGCAAAGCAGCAATGGTTTGAGCATCCCTGAATTGCTGCTCACAAGTGCTTTAAACACCTAAAGGAAGAAGGGGCACTTCAGTGACGAAGGCCAAGTGAAGGAGCCAGGATTTAGAACTAAAAGTGAGATGGCTATGGAAGCAAACTTGCCTCCCTCTCCAAGCCTCTTCCCTTTCTTCTCCCTGCCCCAGGAACCCTGGCCAAACCACATATCCCTCAGCTTCTTGAGAGAACTAGAGACTTTGAGCAGCTAGTAGTGTTACCAGTGTACCTCCACAAACACTCCTGGGACAACAGATGATGACAGGAGGGCAGTAGAGCCCAGAGAAGAGAGCTTACCTGGAAGGAGGAAGAAGTCACAGGTTTTGTTTTGTTTTGTTTTAGGCGGAGTTTCTCTTTGTTGCCCAGGCTGGAGTGCAGTGGCGCAATCTCGGCTCATTGCAAGCTCCGCCTCCCAGATTCACGCCATTCTGTCTCAGCCTCCCAAGTAGCTGGGACTACAGGTGCCTGCCACCACGTCCGGTTAAGTTTTTCTATTTTTAGTAGAGACGGGGTTTCACCGTGTTAGCCAGGTTGGTCTACATCTCCTGACCTTGTGATCCGCCCGCCGTGGCCTCTCAAAGTACCGGGATTATAGGCGTGAGCCACCACGACTGACTGGCATGAAGTCACAGGTTTTAAGGCAGGAACTGGCCTGCATGTATGTGGGTCACTGATTGGGTCACATACACTGCATGTATGTGAGCCCTGGGATGGGATTGGATCATCTTGTCTCCTTTAGGGCAGGGTGTTTTTTTCTAGCCCTGTGGTGCTGCGCACTGTCCAGCATCCCCCCAGGGCTCAATGTTTTCTTTTCTTTTTCTTTTTTTTTTTTTTTTGAGATGGAGTCTCACTCTGTTGCTCAGGCTGGAGTGCAGTGGTGCAATCTTGGCTCACTGCAACCTCTGCCTCCTGGGTTCAAGCAATTCTACCGCCTCAGCCTCCCAAGTAGCTGGGATTACAAGCATGTGCCACCATGCCTGGCTAATTTTTGTATCTTTAGTAGAGACAGGGTTTCACCGTGTTGGCCAGGCTGGTCTCGAACTCCTTACCTCAGGTGATCCACCCATATTGGCCTCCCAAAGTGCTGAGATTACAGGTGTGAGCCACCATGCCTGGCCTCAATCTTTTCTTTTAAACAATTATTCCTATATTTTATTGTAATGCAGTTAACCGTGTTTGTCAGATTCAATACTCTGTGACCCGTTAACCAAGTCTCTGTATGTTTATTACTGCAATTCAAGTGGCCGTGACCGTTTTCTTAAATATACTTTATTTGTTTAGTGCAATTTTAGGTTCACAGTAAAACTGAGCAGAGGGTACAGAGAGTTCTCATTTACTCCCTGTCCCCACACATGCACAGCCTCCCTTATCACCAACACTGGGCACCAGAGTGGTCATTTGTTACAACTGATGGACCTTCATTGACACGTCACTATCACCAGAGTCCATAGTTTACATTAGGGTTCACTCTTGGGGTGGTACATTCTATAGGTTTGGATGTATTTTCAGTGACATGCATCTACCATTATAGTATCATACAGAAGAGTTTCCCTGCCCGAACAGTCCTCTGCTGCACCTGTTCATTCTTCCCTCCCCTCAACCCCTAGCAACCATTGATCCTTTTACTGCTTCCATAGTTTTGCCTTTTCCAGAATGTTGTGTAGTTAGATTCATACTGTATATGTAGCCTTTTCAGATTGACTTCCTTCACTTAGTAATGTACATTTAAGATTCCTTCAAGTCTTTTCATGGCTGAATCATGAGCTTGACAGCTCATTTTGGAAGTACTGCTGAATAGTATTCCATTATGTGGATGTACATTATCTGTTCACCTACTGAAGGACATCTTGGTTGCTTCCAAGTTTTGGCAATTATGAATACAACTGCTACAAACATTTGTGTACAGGTTTTTGTGTGAACATAAGTTTTCAACTCCTTTGGGAGTATAAATACTCATAAATACCAAGGAATATGAGTCCTGGATTCTGTGGTAAGAGTATGTTTCATTTTGTAAGAAACTGCCAAACTGTCTTCAAAAGTGGCTGTACCATTTTGCATTCCTGTTGGCAGTTAATGAGGGTTTCTGTTGCTCTACATCCTCTGAAACATTTGGTTTCGTCACTGTTTTGGTTTTGGCCCATTCTTTTTTTTTTTTTTTTTCCTGAGACGGAGTGTCCTTTGTCATCCAGACTGGAGTGCAGTGGCACTATCTCGCCTCACTGCAACCTTGACTGCCCAGGTTCAAGCAATTCTCCTGCCTCAGCTTCCCGAGTAGCTGGGATTACAGGCGTGTGCCACCACGCCTGGCTGATTTTTTTTTTTTTTTTTCTGAGACAGAGTCTCGCTCTGTCATCCAGGCTGGAGTGCAGTGGCACAATCTCCACTCACTGCGACCTCCGCCTCCCGGGTTCAAACCATTCTTCTGCCTCAGCCTCCTGAATAGCTGGGACTACAGGCACACGCCACCGCGCCTGGCTGATTTTTGTATTTTTAGAAGAGAGAGGGTTTCACCATATTGGCCAGGCTGGTCTCAAACTCCTGACCTGAAGTCATCTGCCTGCTTCAGCCTCCCAGAGTGCTGGGATTACAGGCATGAGCCTCTGCACCCGGCTGGCTTTTGGCCATTCTAATAGGTATGTAGTGAAATCTTGTTTTAATTTGCAGTTCCCTAATAACATGACGTAGAGTATCTTTCCTATGCTTACTTGCCATCTGTAAATCTTTAGTGAGGTGTCTGTTCAAGTCTTTTGCCCATTTTAAAACAGGCAACTTGTTTGGGTGATTTCTTTTTGTTGAGTTTTAAGAGTTCTTTGTGTATTTTGGATAACAGCTCTTTATCAGATATACCTTTTGCAAATATTTTCTCCCAGTCTGTGGCTTGTCTTCTCATTCTCTTGACAGTGTCTTTCACAAAGCAGAGCTTTTTAAATTTAATGAAGTCCAGTTTCATATAATTTAATGAAGTGGGCCGGGCGAGGTGGCTCATGAGGCCTGTAATCCCAGCACTTTGGGAGGCCAAGGCAGGAGGATTGCTTGAGCCCAGGAGTTCGAAACCAGCCTGTACAACATAGAGACTTCATCTCTACAAAAAAATATAAAAATTGGCTGAGTGTGGTGCACACCTGTGGTCCCAGCTACTTGGGAGGCTGAGGTCGAAGGATTGCTTAAGCCCAGGAGGTCAAGGCTGCACTGACCTGTGACTGTGCCACTGCACTCCAGCCTGGGTGACAGAGCAAGACTTTGTTTCCAAAAAAAAAAAAAAAAAATTAATGAAGTTTGTCAATTTTTTTTTTTTTTTTTTTTGAGACGGAGTTTCTCTCTTGTTGCCCAGGTTGGAGTGCAATGGTGCAATCTCGGCTCGCCACAACCTCGCCTCCCGGGTTCAAGCAATTCCCCTGCCTCAGCCTCCTGAGTAGCTGGGATTACAGGCATGTGCCACCACCCTTGGCTAATTTTGTATTTTTCGTAGAGACAGGGTTTCTCCATGTTGGTTAGGCTGGTCTCGAACTCCCGACCTCAGGTGATCCACCCGCCTCGGCCTCCCAAAGTGCTGGGATTACAGGCGTGAGCCACCATGCCCAGCTCTTTGTCAATTTTTTAAATGGATCCTGCCTTTACTGTTGTATTTAAAAAGTCATCACCAATCCAATATCATCTAGATTTTCTCCTATGTTATCTACTAGAAGTTTTACAGTTTTGCATTTTACATTTAGGTCTATGATCCATTTTGAGTTCATTTTTGTGAAGGGTGTAAGGTCTATGTGTAGATTCATGTTTTTGCATGTGGATGTTCAGTTGTTCCAACATAATCTCTTGAAAAGAGTCTTTCTATCTTTGTTCCATTGTATTGCTTTTACTCCTTTGTCAGAGACCAGTTGACTGTATTAATGTGGGTCTCTCCTGGGTTCTTTATTCTGTTCCATTAATCTGTTTGTCTATTCTTTTGCCAATACTACACTATTTTTTTTTTTTTTTTTTTTTGAGATGGAGTCTCACTCTTACCCAGCCTGGAGTGTAATGGTGCAATCTTGGCTCACTGCAACCTCCACCTTCCAGGTTCAAGCCACCCTCCCGCCTTAGCCTCCCTAGTAGCTGGGACTATAGGCATGCACCACCATGCCTGGCTAATTTTTCTATTTTTGTTAGAGATGGGATTTCACCGTGTTGGCCAGGCTGGTCTCAAACTCCTGACCTCTGGTAATCTGCCCACCTCAGCCTCACAAAATGCTGGGATTATAGGCATGAGCCACTGTGCCTGGCCACCACACTATCTTTTTTCAAGGTTTTTTTTTTTTTTTTTTTTTTTTTTCTGAGAGAGAGTCTCACTCTGTCGCCCAGGCTGGAGTGCAGTGGCGCAATCTCGGCTCACTGCAAGCTCCGCCTCCCAGCTTTACGCCATTCTCCCGCCTCAGGCTCCTGAGTAGCTGGGACTACAGGCGCCCGCCACCACACCTGGCTAATTTTGTTTTTGTATTTTTAGCAGAGACGGGGTTTCACCGTATTAGCCAGGATGGTCTTGATCTCCTGACCTTGTGATCTGCCCGCCTCGGCCTCCCAAAGTGCTGGGATTACAGGCGTGAGCCACTGCACCTGGCCCACTATCTTGATTACTGTAACTTTATAGTAAGTCTTGAAGTCAGGCAGTGTCAATCTTTAACTTTTTTCTTCATATATATATATCTATATATATATGTGTGTGTGTGGTGTGTGTGTGTGTGTGTGTATATATATATATATTTTTTTTTTTTTTTTTTTTTGGAGACAAGGTCTTTACTCTGTCACCCAGGCTACAGTACAGTAGTGTGATCACAGCTCACTGCAGCCTGGACCTCCCTGGCTAAGTGATCTTCCCACCACAGGCATGCACCACCACACCCAGCTAAATTTTAAATATTTAGTAGAGACAGGGTCTTGCTATGTTGTCCAAGCTGGCCTTCAACTCCTGAGCTCAAGCAATCCTCCCACCTTGGCCTTCCAAAGTGGGTAATGTGGTTTTAATATCAGATTGCACTTGGCTGGGCACAGTGGCTCATGCCTATAATCCCAGCACTTTGGGAGGCCAAGGTGGGTAGATCATCTGAGGTCAGGAATCCGAGACCAGCCTGGCCAACATGGCAGAAACCGTGTCTCTACTAAAAATACAAAAATTAGCCAGGAGTGGTGGTACATGCCTATAATCCCAGCTACTTGGGAGGCTGAGGCAGGAGAATCATTTGAACCTGGGAGGTGGAGGTCCAGTGAGCTGAGATCATGCCACTGCACTTCAGCCTGGGTGACAGAGTGAAACTGTCTCAAAAAAAAAAAAAAAAAAAAGCTGGGCGTAGTGGCTTACTCCTGTAATCCCAGCACTTTGAGAGGCTGAGGCGGGCGGATCACAAGGTGAGGAGATCGAGACCATCCTGGTTAACACAGTGAAACCCCGTGTCTACTAAAAATACAAAAAAATTAGCTGGGTGTGGTGGTGAGCGCCTGTAGTCCCAGCTACTCGGGAGGCTGAGGCAGGAGAATGGCATGAACCCGGGAGGCGGAGCTTGCGGTGAGCCGAGATCGCGCCACTGTACTCCAGCCTGGGCAACAGAGTGAAACTCTGTCTCAAAAAAAAAAAAAACAAAAAAAAACAAAAAAAAAACATTGCACTTGCTGATTGCTTGTATAAGTGAAAGCAATTGACTTTTTTTTCTTTTTTGAGACAGGGTCTCACTCTGTTGCCCAAGCTGGAGTGCAGTGGCGCAGTCTTGGCTCACTGCAGCCTGTGCCTTCTGGGCTCAAGTGATCCCCCCACCTCAGCCTCCCAAGTAGCTGAGATTACAGATGTGCACCACTATGCCCAGCTAAATTTTTGTGTTTTTAGTAGAGACGAGGTTTCACTATGTTGGCCAGTCTGGTCTCAAAATCCTGATCTCAAGTGATCCACCCACCTTGGCCTCCCAAAGTGCTGGGATTACAGGCGTGAGCCATCGTGCCTGGGCACCATTTTTTTCCTTTTTTTTGAGACGGAGTCTCGCTCTGTTGCCCAGGCTGGAGTGCAGTGCCACCATCTCAGCTCACTGCAACCTCCACCTCCCGGGTTCAAGCGATTCTCCTGCCTCAGCCTCCCGAGTAGCTGGTACTACAGGTGCGCACCACCATGCCCAGCTAATTTTTGTATTTTTAATAGACACGGGGTTTCACCATGTTGGCCAGGATGGTCTCAATCTCTTGACCCAGTGATCCACCCACCTCAGCCTCCCAAAATGCTGGGATTACAGGTGTGAATCACCACACCCGGCTGAGTTTTTCTTTTTTTAATAGAGATAAGGTCTTCCTACAGGGAGGTTGCCAAGGCTAATCTCAAACTCCTGGACTCAATAGATCCGCCTGCCTTGACCTCTCAAAGTGCAGGAATTACAGGCATGAGCCACTTCGTCCAGCTTAGCAATTGACTTTTGTATATTAATGTTGTGTCTTGCAATCTTGCTGTAATGCTTATTCGTTCCAAGAGTTTTTGTTGGTTTGTTTTTGTTGATTCTTTCAGATTTTCTACATTAGCTAGGACTTTTGGTACAACATTGAAAATGAGTTGTTAGGACATTATTGCCTTGTTCCTGACCTTAGTGGGAAAGCTTCCAGTTTCTCACCATTAAGTATGATTTTTGTAAATGTTCTTTATCAACTTGTGAAGTTCTCTTATTTCCTAGTTTGTTGAGAGTTTTTATTGTAAATGGTGGTTGGACTTTGCCACATGCTTTTTCTGCTTTTATTGGTATGATAATGCAATTTTACATCGTTAGCCTGTCAATGTAATTGATTATCTTAATTGATTTTCAAATGTTGAACTAGCCTCACATACCTGGAATAAATCCCGCTTGGTCATTTTGAGTAATTATTTTTATACATTACTGGATTTGATTTGCTACTATTTTGTTGAGGAGTTTTGCATCTATGTTCACAAGAGATACTGGTCTGTAGTTTCCTTGCTTCCTTCCTTCCTTCCTTCCTTCCTTCCTTCCTTCCTTCGTTCCTTCCTTCCTTCTTTCCTTCGTTCCTTCCTTCCTTCCCTCCGTCCCTCCTTCCCTCCCTCTGTCAGGAGTCCAAGACAAGGCTGGCCAACATGGCAGAAACCACGTCTCTACTAAAAATACAAAAATAAGCCAGGAATGGTGGTACACGCCTGTAATCCCAGCTACTTAGGCGCAGTCTCGGCTCACTGCAATCTCCACGTCCCGGGTTCAAGCGATTCTACTGCCTCAGCCTCCTGAGTAGCTGGGATTACAGGTGCACACCACCATGCCTGGCTAATTTTTGTATTTTTAGTAGAGACGGGGTTTCACCATGTTAGCCAGGCTGGTCTCGGACTCCTGACCTCAAGTGATCCACCCACCTCAGCCTCCCAAAGTGCTGGGATTACAAGCGTGAGCCACCACACACCTGGCCATCACTTGCTTTTTTCACTCACCAGTGTATCCTGGATATTTTTGTCATAGCACTACAGAGACAGCATCTGTATTCTTTTAAGTTCTTATCCATCATGTGGCTAGATTATAGTTAATTTAGCAAACCTAAAAGTTATTGTGAACTACCATATTTCACATTTACAAAAAGGTGCTTAGAATTATATAATGAGCATCCAAGTACCTGTCATTTCATTTAAGAAATAAAAACCAGCTGGGTGTGGTGGCTCACGCCTGTAATCCCAGCACTTTGGGAGGCCGAAGTGGGCAGATCACCTGAGGTCGGGAGTTTGAGACCAGCCTGACCAACATGGAGAAACCCTGTCTCTACTAAAAATACAAAATTAGCTGGATGTGGTGGTGCATGCCTGTAATCCCAGCTACTTGGGAGGCTGAGGCAGGAGAATCACTTGAACCCGGGAGGCAGAGGTTGTGGTGAGCTTAGATCGCGCCATTGCACTCAGCCTGGGCAACAAGAGTGAAACTATGTCTCCAAAAACAGAAACAAAAAAGAAATAAAACCCAGCATTACCTCATTATTTTAGGCTTTTATTTTCATGAACTGTTTCCTTCTGTTTTCATTTAGTATATCCATACCTCTTTAGGGGTGCTTAAGTCATTTGTTTGCAGTCTTAGAAAATGACATTAGTCTTTAAGTTATGAATTTTCCTATGATACAGCTTTAGTTGTATCCCATATGTTCTGATGTGGTGTTTTCACTGTTGACATTTTCTAGAAATCTGTAGTTTCACTTTTTTTCCTTCTTAATTCCCTATTTTTACATGACTTCGTGAGAACAATATTTTTGAGTTCTTGTATGTTAAAAAATTATTTTTGGCTGGGCACGGTGGCTCATGCCTGTAATCCCGGCACTTTGGGAGGCCAAAGAGGGTGGATCACCTGAGGTCAGGAGTTTGAGACCAGCCTGGCTAACATGGTGAAACCCTGTTTCTGCTAAAAATACGAAAAATTAGCTGGGCGTGGTGGCACATACCTGTAATCTCAGCTATTTGGGAGGCTGAGGCAGGAGAATCACTTGAACCCAGGAGATGGAAGTTGCAGTGAGCCGAGATTGCGCCATTGCACTCCAGCCTGGGTAACAAGAGCGAAACTCTGTCTAAAAAAAAAAAAATCTTTTTAGAGCCTTTATACTTGATCTTTCTGCCTGAGTGCCCCAAAGATTCATCTTTACATTTCAGTAACATTATTAGAATGTATCTCATAGTGCAAACATAGTGTGTTTATTCTTTTTTTTTTTTTTTTTTTGACGGAGTTTCGCTCTTGTTGCCCAGGCCGAAGTGTGCAATGGCTCGATCTCGGCTCACCGCAACCTCCACCTCCCAGGTTCAAGCAATTCTCCTGCCTCAGCCTCCCGAGTAGCTGAGATTACAGGCATGCGCCACCATGCCCGTTTAATTTTGTATTTTTAGTAGAGATGGGGTTTCTCCACGTTGGTCAGGCTGGTCTCAGACTCCCGACCTCAGGTGATCCGCCCGCCTCGGCCTCCCAAAGTGCTGGGATTACAGGCGTGAGCCAACACGCCCGGCCCATACTGTGTTTTTTCAAAAGTAGATTGAAGTCCTTTTTTACTTCAGAAGTATTTTCCAGAATTATATCTTATTTTTATTTGTTTTTGAGACGGAGTCTTGCTCTGTCGCCAGGCTGGAGTGCGGTGGCGCAATCTCAGCTCACTGCAGCCTATGCCTTCAGAGTTCAAGCGATTCTCCTGCCTCAGCCTCCTGAGTAGCTGGGACTACAGACACACACCACCATGCCCAGCTAATTTTTGTATTTTTGGTAGAGACGGGGTTTCACCATGTTGGCCAGGATGGTCTCGATCTCTTGACCTCTTGATTTGCCCACCTCAGCCTCCCAATGTATATCTTTAAATAGGTATTGTATTTCATTGTTTCTGTCTCATCTAGGAATTCCAATTATGCACTAGTTGGCTCTTCTTTGCCTATCAATTGTAGCTATATTGTCCCCACCCCTTTAATCCTTTTAATTTGGCGCATCTCAGAAAGCACTAGAAAAGAAAAACTGCTTCCTGAAGATGTATCTCTTACTTGCAGTAAAGTAGGGACTACAATGTAGCTCCGTAGGGAAGACCCACTTTAGTTTAACTAAGGAGAGAGGCTGCAAGCTGTGAAATTCAGGAGGTTCACTTGTGTGACTCACGTCTATGCCTTCTGGTCAGTTCCAGGTCCTCCACCATTATGGAATTGCTCCATCCCTTAGTGTGCAAATGGAAGTTCCTGAGTCCTCATCCTACCTGCAATGGGATGCCTAGTACTCCAGCATTTCTGGGCTTCTCAAGGGGACGTATGTCTCCTAGGCATTATGTACATTAGCTTTCTGCTTCTATGGCATTGTCAGTCTCACTTGGGGTCAGGACATACGGCTCTTCTCCCTGCCCTGCTGTCTGTCTAAACGAAGATCTTTTCCTCGATGTCCCTAAAGAAACAGACATTTGGGTATAGCCAACTGTTAGAAGAATTTAGGGGGATAGAGGAGAGTCATCTTACAGAATGACAGAGCAAAAAAACTTACAATTGATTGTTACATGCTACCTTTCCCCTGAGTCTCTTGCCCATTCCACCCAGTGGGGTTTCCCCACTCCTAGTCTCCTCCTGGGGCCTCAGCTTCTCATCAGCTTTCACGCTACTCCTTATTTTTAAACTGTTTTCAGGCTGGGTACAGTGGCACATGCCTATAATCCCAGCACTTTGAGAGGCCGAGGCAAAAGGATCGCTTGAAGCCAGGAGTTTGAGAGCAGCCTGGGCAACAAAGCGAGATCCTATCTTAATAAAATTGTATTTTTAAAAGCTTTTTTTTTTTCTTTTTTTGAGATGAGGTCTCACTCTGTTGCCCAGGCTGGGGTGCAATGGCATGATCTCGCCTCACTGCAACCTCTGCCTCCCAGGCTCAGGCAATTTTCCCACCTCGGCCCCTCAGGCTTCCGAGTAGCTGGGACCACCGGCATGTGCCACCAAGCCTGGCTAATTTTCTTTTCTTTTTCTTTCTTTTTTCTTTTTTTTTTTTGTGAGACGGAGTTTCGCTTTTGTTGCCCAGGCTGGAGTGCAATGGCGCTATCTCGGCTCACCGCAATCTCCGCCTCTCGGGTTCAAGCGATTCTTCTGCCTCAGCCTCCTGAGTAGCTGGAATTACAGGCATTGCCTGACTAATTTTGTATTTTTAGTAGAGATGGGGTTTCTCCATGTTGGTCAGGCTGGTCTCGAACTCCCGACCTCAGGTTATCCGCCCACCTTGGCCTCCCAAAGTGCTGGGATTACAGGTGTGAGCCACCATGCCTGGCCCTAGCTAATTTTCTTTTTGTACTTTTGGTAGAGACAGGGTTTTGCCATGTTGCCCAGGCTGGTCTCAAACTTCTAAGCTCAAGTAATCTGCCTGCCTCGGCCTCCCAAAGTGCTGGGATTACAGGGGTGAGTCTCTGCACCCAGCCAAAAAGAGCTTTTTTCTTTTCTTTTCTTTTTTTGGAGAGATGGGATCTCTCTCTTTTGCCCAGGCTGGAACTCTTCAGCTCAAGCAATCCTCCGGCCTCATCCTCCTGTGTAGCTGGGGCTACATTCCTTTTCATTTTTTTTAATTAAAAAATTGTGGGGTTTTTTTTGGCCAGGCACAATGGCTCACGCCTGTAATCCCAGCATTTTGGGAGGCTGAGGCGGGTGGATCACCTGAGGTCAGGAGTTGGAGACCAGCCTGGCCAACATGGTGAAACACTGTCTCTACTAAAAATACAAAAATTAGCCAGGCGTGGTGGTGCATGCCTGTAATCCCAGCTACTAGGGAGGCTGAGGCAGGAGAATTGCTTGAACTCAGGATGCGGAGGTTGCAGTGAGCCGAAATTGCGCCACCGCACTCCAGCCTGGGCGACAAGAGCAAGACTCGATCCTAAAAAAAAAGAAAATTGTTGTTTTTTTCTTTTTTATTGTAAAATATACCTAACATTAAAAAGACCATTTAACCATTTTTAAGTGTAGAATCTGGTGGCATTAAGCACATTCACAATGTTATGTCCATTATTTTTATTTTATTTTTTATTTTTGAGACAAAGTCTCGCTCTTGTCACGCGGGCTGGAGTGCAATGGCGCAATCTTGGCTCACTGCAACCTCCACCTCCTGGGTTCAAGTGATTCTCCTGCCTCAGTCTCCCGAGTAGCTGGGATTATAGGCGCCTGCCATCACGCCTGGCTAATTTTTTTATTTTTAGTGGAGATGGAGTTTCACCATATTAGCCAGGCTGGTCTCGAACCCCTGACCTCAGGTGATCCACCCGCCTCAGCCTCCCAAAGTGCTGGGATTACAGGTGTGAGCCACCGTGCCCGGCCAATGTTGTGTCCATTTCTAAAATTTTTTTTTATCGTTTGAAACAGAAACTCCGCAGCCATCAGGCACTCACTGCCCACACTTCCTTCTTTGCTCTCTGACCACTCGCGCCCCATTTCATTCCTGTTCATTTCTCATTTCCTTCTTATACTGACCAGTTCAGGTCTTCCCTCTCCCATCAGCTTGGTTCCAGGCCTACCTTTTGATATCATAGCTGTGCCCACTAAAAAAAGAGAAAGAAAAATGCAGACCTGAAGCTCCACCGTTAGCATCTCAAAGCATGTTTTCAACTCCGCTTTGAAATTACAGACTCAAGGAACACGATGAAACTCGTGGGCAAGACCTCCTTCCCCACTGATGTCTGTCTGTTCTGAAGGGGGCCACAGAAAGACATATCCTTCTGGAGATGAATTATGCATTTTCCTTAAGAGGCACATAGAGCTTTACCAACTTTTTCAACAACGTTCCCCCGCTACATAGTCTTTCTTTTGTGTTATTTAGTTTACCATTTCTTTTTTCCATCTTGTTATAACCTCCACGAGTTGTGTCTCTTTTGTTTTCTACATTATACCCAACGGCTAGCACATAACAGGCACCCAATATATACTGAACGAACTAAGGAATGAATGAAGGAATGAATGAATAGGTGGCTTATAGGAAACCCCTGGGGCCAGGGACTCTGCAACATCACCATGTAACTTTTTCTTTGTGCTGAGAAGCAGAGAGAAACAATAGAAGATATCTCTTAATCTCTCAAGGATGCTACTCCCAGGACTGCTTGCAATTTCCGAGGAGATAAGCCACAAGTTACAGAAAGGAAGCAGCTGTGTAGGGCCTGCAAGTTTCCTGCTGCAAGTCACCCTATGTTCAGAAGTTACCCTGGCTGGGCCAGGCATGGTGGCTCACGCCTGTAATCCCAGCACTCTGGGGAGGCTGAGGCAGGTGGATTGCTTGAGTCCAGGAGTTTGAGACCAGCCTGGGCAACATGGAGAAACCCCATCTATACAAAAAATTAGCTGGGTGTGGTGGCATGAGCCTGTAGTCCCAGCTACTTGGGAGGCTGAGGTGGAAGAATCACCTGAGCCCAGGGGGTCAAGGCTGTAGTAAGCCAAGATCACGCCACTGCACTCCAGCCTGGGCAACCAGAGTGAGACCCTGTCTCGAAAAAAAAAAAAAAAAAAAGAAGGAAGGAAGGAGAAAGAGAAAGAGAGAAAAGAAAAAAAAGAAAAAGTTACTCTGACTTTCTACACTGCTTTTAATGAATAGAAATTTATCTTTCCCCTCAGTGTTCTGGAAGAGTTTACAAATATGATTGAGGGGCTGGGCACCGTGGCTCACGCCTGTAATCCCAACACTTTCGGAGGCTAAGGCAGGCAGATCACCTGAGGTCAGGAGTTCGAGACCAGCCTGGCCAACATGGTGAAACCCCGTTTCTACTAAAAATAAAAAATTAGCTGGGTGTAGTGGCGCACACCTGTAATCCCAGCTAATTGGGAGGCTGAAACACAAGAATTACTTGAACCCAGGAGGCGGAGGTTGCAGTGAGCCACAGTCGTCCCACTGCACTCCAGTCGCTGCACTCTCGCCAAAAACAAAAACAAATAAATATGATTGAGTATTACCATAGGCTCTGGTTCCTGCCCTGAGGGAAGGTGAGTTAAAAAGCAGTCAGAGGCCGGGCATGGTGACTCACGCCTGTAATCCCAGCACTTTGGGAGGCTAAGGCAGGAGGATAGCCTGAGGTCAGGAGTTTCAGACCAGCCTGGCCAACATGGTGAAACCCTGTCTCTCCTAAAAATACAAAATTGGCCGGATGTGGTGGTGCACACCTGTAATCCCAGCTACTCAGAGCCTGAGGCAGGAAAATTGCTTGAACCCAGGAAGTGGAGGTTGGAGGTGGAGGTTGCAGTTAGATGAGATCGTGCCATTGCACTTCAGCCTGGGCTAAAAGAGTCTCAAAAAAAAAAAAGCAGTCAAAGCAGTAAGAGGTCTAATGTGCTTCAAAACTGTAGTTTCAGCACTTTGGGAATCCAAAGTGGGAGGACTGCTGGAGCCCAGGAGTTTGGGACCAGCCTGTGTAACATAGCAAGACCCTGTCTCTACAAAAAATAAATTTAAAAAGAGCCAGTGGTGGCCGGGCGCGGTGGCTCATGCCTGTAATCCCAGTACTTTGGGAGGCCGAGGCGGGCGGATCACGAGGTCAGGAGATCGAGACCATCCTGGCTAACACGGTGAAACCCATCTCTACTAAAAATACAAAAAATTAGCCGGGCATAGTGGCAGGTGCCTGTAGTCCCAGCTACTCGGGAGGCTGAGGCAGGAGAATGGCATAAACCTGGGAGGCAGAGCATGCAGTGAGCCAAGATAGCGCCACTGCACTCCAGCCTGGGTGACAGAGCGAGACGCCGCCTCAAAAAAAAAAAAAAAAAGGCCAGTGGTATGTGCTTGTCGTCCTAGCTACTTGTGAGGCTGAGGCGGGAGGATCAGTAGCTCAGAAGGAACTCCAGAACTGAGTTCTGAACAAGTGAAGCTTCAGATGCAGTGATGCGATCATGGCTCACTGCAACCTCCACCTCGACCTCCTGGGCTCAATTGATCCTCCCGCCTCAGCCTCCCAGGTAGCCGAGACTAGAGGAGCGTGCCACCATGCCTGGCTAATTTTTTGTACTTTTCATAGAGATAGGGTTTTGCCATGTTGCCCAGGGTGGTCTCTGATTCCTGGGCTCAAGCAATTCTCCTGCTTCAATCTGCCAAAATGCTGGGATTACAGGTGTGAGCATCATGCCAGGCCTTGGGAACTTTTGGGGAAATGGAAATATTCTAGATGTTGATCTGGATGCTGGTGTCACACCCATTTACTTGGATAAAAATGAATCAAGTCCTCACGCCTGTAATCCCAGCACTTTGGGGGTGGAGGCGGGTGGATCACCTGAGGTCAGGAGTTTGAGACCAGCCTGGCTAACATGGTGAAACCCTGTCTCTACTAAAAAAAAAAAAAAAAAAAACCCACAAAAATTAGCCGGGCATGGTGGTGGGTGCCTGTAATCCCAGCTACTCGAGACGCTGTGGTAGGAGAATCCTTTGAACCCAGGAGGCAGAGGTTGCAGTGAGCTGAGATCACGCCACTGCACTCCAGCCTGGCGACAGAGCAAGACTCCATCTCAAAAAAAAAAAAAAAAAAAAAAAAAGGGAGAGCCGGGTGCGGTGGCTCACGCCTGTAATCCCAGCACTTTGTGAGGCCAAGGCAGGTGGATCACAAGGTCAGGAGATCGAGACCATCCTGGCCAACATGGTGAAACCCCGTCTCTACTAAAAATACAAAAATTAGCTGGGTGTGGTGGAGCATGCCTGTAATCCCAGCTACTCAGGAGGCTGGGGCAGGAGAATCGCTTGAACCAGGGAGTTGGAGGTTGCAGTGAGCCAAGATCATGCCACTGTACTCCAGCCTGGTGACAGAGTGAGACTCCGTCTCAAAAAAAAAAAAAAAAAAAAGAGTCAAGTCATACACTTAAGTTTGATATATTTCACTGAATGTAAACTGTGCTTCAAGAAACAAAACCCTTCCATGCACAAAACACCTAGGGTGACATCTGTTTCCTGCACTGAATATCTGATTTTGGGAGAGGAGCCCTAGGACAAGAGACAGCAAGAGGGGCTGAGAGCAAGCAGGGCACCAGAAGCTGGGAGCGTGGAGGGACGTGACCAGGGAGAAGTCCCCTGTGTTGGGGGAGGCCTGTGAATTTTAGGAACTCTGATATCTAACTCTCAAGGCATGTCCTTGCCAAGCAGCAATACAATTAAGTGTGCCTAATCTTATGGCTCCCACACTTTCAATTGTTCTTCCTGAAACAATTAGATATGAAGCCGCAAGAGCCCAGGCAGGGCTGGATTGATTCTTGAACTAATCAACATTTATGCCCTCTTGGCTAAACTAGGCAGAGTTGGTTTTATTACAGTTCAGATGTGATTAAGCACACTGTATTGTGTCAGCGGCAGGTGACGAGCCACACAGTGTCCTGAGGCCTGATGAAAGGGCTATGCCAACCACAGTCCCAGAGGAGGAGCTGGCTGTAGCAGCGACTGACCCAGGAGCTGAAGTGAGCCAAGCCCCCTCCTCCTGAGACCCCTGAGAGGTAAGGCAGGCTCATGCCAGACCCTATTACGTCCCACATCATGGCTAGAACCAGAACCATCTTACATGGCTGGTCAAGGCAAGGATAACCCCAGGAAGTCAGAGGACTTGGAGACTCTGTATTGTAGGAAAAAAAAAAAATACTAGAAAAGACACTGGAGCGTCACCAGCAGTCACCCCTGGATGGTGGCATTATTATTATTAGTAGTATTTTTTTTGAGATGGAGTCACTCTGTCGCCCAGGCTGGAGTGCAGTGGCATGATCTTGGCTCACTGTAACCTCCGTTTCCTGGGTTCAGGCAATTCTCCTGCCTTAGTCTCCTGAGTAGCTGGGATTACAGATGTGTGCCACCATGACTGGCTAATTTTTGTAGATGGTGGCATTATGAATATGGATTTTGGTTTTCATCATCAAATATTTCTGTTTTCCCCACATTAGCTGTAAACAGTATATATTTTTGGTAAATTAAGTTGAAAGAATGAAAAAATTAAAATAGTATAAAGAATATCTGTTTAAGTGCAGTGGAGTGTGCCTGTGGTCCTAGCTACTTCGGAGGCTTAGATGGAAGGATTGCTTGAGCCCAGGAGTTCAAGACCAACCAGAGCAATGTAGCAAGACTGTGTCTGTTTTATTTTAAAAATAAATAAATAAAACATAAAGAATAACTGTTTAAAATACTATTCAAAATGAAGTCATAAAGGAGGGGATTATGTTTTTTAGTCATAGTTCCCTCAAGGGCTCAGACCGGAGAACATAACCGAGTTTGGAGCCCTCTGGCACTGTCTTTGCGCCTGACCTCTGCTCTCCAGGGGGTGACGTGAGCTGGTGGGTGCTGAGTCATCATGGGTGGGTCACAGCCTCCCTCGGAGGCCTGGAGATGGGCCTGTCTGTGCTGAACTTTACTGGGCAGGGGGCAGCTCCAAGGCCCTCACTGGGGGCAGCCTAGAGCATAGATCACTCTCTGGACTTGCTCTTCTCCTAATAAATGGACAGTGATCAATGAATTACACCCATGAAATAGGGTGGGATGCAATAAGAAATAAAAGATAATATAAATAGCCAGATAGGGTCAAAAGATGATTTATTTTACTTTATATTTTTGAAATAATTTCAGATTTACAACATAGTTGCAAAAATAATGCAAATGTTTACATCTTACATAACCCAGTACAATGATCCTAACACTGACAGATTGTTGTTGTTGTTGTTAATTTGAGACAGAGTTTCACTGTTGTTGCCCAAGCTGGAGTGCAATGGTGCGATCTCGGCTCACTGCCGCCTCTGCCTCCCGGGTTCAAGCGATTCTCCTACCTCAGCCTCCTGAGTAGCTGGGATTGCAGGTGCCCACCACCATGCCTGGCTGATTTTTGTATTTTTAGTAGAGACAGGGTTTCACCATGTTGTCCAGGCTGGTTTCAAACTCCTGACCTCAGGTGATCCACCCACCTCGGCGTCCCAAAGTGCTGGAATTAGAGGCGTGAGCCACCATGCCCAGCTAGATTATTGTTAACTGATCCAAAAGCCTTATTTGGATTTCACCTGAAGTCCTTTTTCTGTTTCAGGATCCAACCCAGGTTCCCATATTGCATTCAGTTGTCATGTCACTTTGGTGTCCTTTTCTCTGGAGCAGTCTCTCAGTCTCCTTGTTTTTCCTGACCTTGAAATTTTTGAAGAGTTATTCTGCAGAGCAGTGCTATCCAATAGAACTTTCAGTGATGATAGAAATGCTCTGTTTGGGCCTGACGCTGTGGCTCACACCTGTAATCCCAGAACTTTGGGAGGCTGAGGCAGGCAGATCACCTGAGGTCGGGAGTTTGAGACCAACCTGGCCAAGGTGGAGAAACCCCGTGTCTACTAAAAATGCAAAATTAGCTGGGCATGGTGGTGCATGCCTATAATCCCAGCTACTCGGGAGGCTGAGGCAGGAGAATCGCTTGAACCTGGGAGGCAGAGGTTGTGGTGAGCCGAGATCACGCCATTGTACTCCAACCTCAACAACAAGAGTGAAACTCTGTCTCAAAACAAAACAAACAAAAAAAATAGAAATGCTCTGTGTCACCGAGTATGAAGCCATTAGCTACATGAAAATAGCATTTGAAATGTGGCTCATGGGCCAGGTGCAGTGGCTCACGCCTGTAATCCCAGCACTTTGGGAGGCCAAGGTGGGTGGATCACTTGAGGTCAGGAGTTTGAGACCTGCCTGGCCCATATGGTGAAACCTCGTCTCTACTAAAAATACAAAAATTGGCCGGGCGTGGTGACATGCGCCTGTAGTCCCAGCTACTCGTGAGGCTGAGGCAGGAGAATCACTTGAACCCGGGAGGCGGAGGTTGCAGTGAGCCGAGATTGGGCCACTGCACTCCAGCCTGGGTGAAAGAGTGAGATTCTGTTTCAAAAAAAAAAAAAAAAAAAAAAAAGAGAAATGTGGCTCGTGGGTCTCAGGAACTGGCTTCTAAGTATTATTTAATTTTAATTAAAATAGCTACATGTGGCTAGTAGCCATTGTATTGGATAGGACAGCTGTCAAATGTCTCTCGTTTTGGGTTTGCTTACTGTTTCCCTATGATTAGTTTCAGATCATGAGCTTTTGATAGGAATACCATAAGCATGTTGTTGTGTTCTTCTTTGTCTAAATCTTTATAAAAGCTGTTGATAGGTGGCAGGGAACCACCTAGTCAGGCAGTGGGATTGTTTGAATGCTCTTTGAGGTCCAGCAAAGACAGGAGTGATAGCTGCACTTGGAAGCCCGCTCCTACACTTTCAATGTTCTTCCTGAAAGAATTAGATATGAAGCTGCTAGAGCTGCTCCGGTGGGGAGCAGGCAGGATTGATTCTTGAACTAATCAACATTTATGCCCTCTTGGCTAAACTAGGCAGAGCTGGTTTTATTACAGTTCAGGTGTGATTAAGCATACTTTGTAAATGCTGAAGGTTGTGAAATATTCACAGGGATATAAAGTACAGTAATAAAACCTCACTTGAGGCTGGGCGTAGTGGCTCACGCCTGTAATCCCAGCACTTTGGGAGGCCGAGGTGGGAGGATCACCTGAGGTCAGGAGTTTGAGACCAGCCTGGCCAACATGGTGAAACTCCGTCTCTACTAAAAATACAAAAATTAGCCGGGCGCAGTGGCATGTGCCTGTAATCTCAGCTACTTGGGAGGCTGAGGCAGGAGAATTGCTTGAACCCAGGAGGTGGAGGTTGCAGTGAGCCGAGATCGCGCCATTGTACTCCAGCCTGGGCGACAGAGCATGACTCTGTCTCAAAAAAAAAAAAAAAAAAAAAGAATAGAAGACCCTGTGCCTGGAAGATCGTAGGTGCTCAGTAAGTGCTGGCCTCTGCCCCAGAAGGGGAAGGGCGAGGCAGATGGCAGGAACTGCGGGAGGTACCTGTCCCAGGCCCTTGGGCGTAAGAGGCCTCTCCCACGCAGCACCCAACCCATACCCAGCCTGCCCGCCAGCCAACCTTGGCGTCCCTGCCTTGCGCCTACCTACCCAGCAGTCCCCCGCCCGCTCCCACTCCCACAGGCCCAGCGTGCACGTCTCCAGGATAGGCATCCTTGCCCCTGTGACTTCAGCGGCACCCAACGTTTATTGGGCACTAACTGTATGCCAGGCCATGGGGGTGCCGGAGAGAACGACACGAAGACCCTCACCCCTCAAAGTTCCCAGGGGGAGGAGGGGCTGCTTCACTTGGGAAGCGTGGGGATGGAATTCTCAGCCCCCCGATGACTCCGAGGCCGGCCACCTGCCTGGTTTCTGGCCGGACACCGGACTTCCCCTGGAAGTTGCTCGAGACTGCGCGCCCCCAGCAAAAAATCAGGTCGGTTCTCCGAGCCCAGTCTAGCGCTTCCCGACCCGCAAACCAAGGCCCAGTGACCGTCCCCGCTGCGCAGCCGCCTGCGTCGCCAGCCAACCACGCGCGGCCGAGTAGCCCCGCCCCTCCACATGGCCAATGGCCGCGCGCTCTGCCCGCCCCGCCTCCTCGCTGCGGGAAGGGTCCTGGGCCCCGGGCGGCGGTCGCCAGGTCTCAGGGCCGGGGGTACCCGAGGTAAGATCGCTTCCCGGGCGTTGGGTCCTTTCGGCTCAGCACGCACGGACGCCTTTAGGGAAGGTGGCTGCAGCGGCAGGACGGAGTCCGCCGGGACGCCCTGGGTCTGGGGTGCGCGGGGGGCCCAGGAGGGGACAGGACGCGCGGGGATCCGGAAGAGCGGGCCCTGTCGCAAGAGTTTCGGGAACACTGAGGGCTCCAGGCGCCGCATCCAGCATCCGGGGAAAAGGGGGTAGGTGGCGCTGGGCGTCTGCTCAGGCTGGGGGAAAGGTAGGGCCAGAAGGGGACGGGCAGCGGCCGCTGACCTCCTCCTGCCGCCCGCGGGCCCAGGGTGACGCTAAGGTGGGGCCGAGCCTCGACCGGGTGCGCCTAGAGGTCGAGTGCTGCCGCCCTCCGCTGGGTCTGGACAGTTCTCGGCGGCGACACCAGCTCAAAACGGCCTCCCCGCCCTCCGCGGACCTGGGTCGCGCCCAGGAATCCGATCCAAGGCTGTGAGGCCTGTCCCTTTGGGAAGGGTGGGTGTTTATTTCCGGGATGCACTCAGAGCCTCTGGACAGTCAGGTCGGAAACTTTGCTGTATTGGGAACACTCTGTCACCTACTTCCTTCTCAGTTGGGAAGGAAGTGCCAAGAAAACATGAAACAAACCAAAAACACGAAAAAGGGATTCTCTGTATGGAAGCCGTGAAGCCTCAAAAATATCTAGGAGGACAGCCAGCGACCTGGGACCTGTGGCAGCCATGTGAAAGCAGGGTTAATGTCTGGACTAAATGTTGCTTCCACCTAAGTGCACCCTCAGCCTCCCTCCCGCCAAGTGACCTTGGGTCCTCTTTGGGCTTGAAGGCAGGTGGCTGTGTGGGTCTCGCTGCAGGGGTCTCTGTGCCCTGCAAGGTGTATGACCAGTTGCAGTGAGGCAGCAGGTTTTGGGTTCAAATCCTGTGCTAGCCTCTGGCCAGCTGTGCACCTTGGCAACACTTTCCCTGTCACGGGATTGGGGAAGGATTAACTGAAAGAACCTTAGGATGTGCCTGTCTACAATGGGCCCTCCATAAATGTGAACAAATGTGGGCTTCCTTTCCTTTTGTTTGGGCCACATCATCCCTTCCCCTCCATCTGTGGCTGAAGCTGGAATGCAGAAGAGTGCCTCATCTGACTGCCTTCTGGTACCTGGCTGATGCCATGAGAAAGGAAGGAGAAAGGGGTCTTTTTTTTTTTGAAATGGAGTCTCACTCTCTTGCCCAGGCTGGAGCGCAGTGGTCCAATCTTGGCTCACTGCAACCTCTGCCTCCTGGGTCTAGAGATTCTCCTGCCTCAGCCTCCTGAGTAGCTGGGACTACAGGTGTGTGCCACCATGCCTGGCTAATTTTTGCATTTTTAGTAGAGACGGGGTTTCACCATGTTGGCCAGGCTGGTCTCAAACTCCTGACCTCAAGTGATCTGCCTGCCTCGGCCTCCCAAAGTGCTGGGATTCCAGGCGTGAGCCACCGCGCCCGGCCGAGAAAGGGATCTATTAACTCCCATAGAGTTGTTCTTTGCTAATTTCTTGAAGGCTCAGAGGACCCCCGCCTCACCTTCCTGATTCTCCTGACCTGTCATTAGTACTTGCCCCACGAGGAATGTAGCAGGGCCTGCTGGCTGGCAAAGCAACTCATGCATGTGAGGCTCTGAGGCCAGTGACAGGACTGCTTCCCCTGTGAGGAAGGTCTGGTGGCCCAACAGCTTTTAGGTGCTGTCTGCTCTACAGCACTGCCTCCTGAGAGAGGTCTCATGCCTGCCTGATGCCCACTTGGTCCTCTCCTGCCTCCTTCCCTCCCTGACAACCCACTTGGAATCCAATAGCATCTCAAACTTCACTTGTTCCGAACTGAGTTCTGGAGTCCCTTCTGAGCCACTGCTCCTCCCCTGGCTTCTCTGGCCTGGTAAAAGGGCACCTTCCATCCACCCAGTGCCCAAGGAGTCATGCTTCTTTTCTCTCCCTTATCTCCTACACCCTCAAAACACCAGGAATCTGGCTGCCTCCTGCCATCTCTGTGGTTCCCATCCTGACCATAGTCATCCTGTCTCCTGGGCTGTGGCCTCCTTACTGGTCTCCCAGTTTTCATCCTGGCCCCTCCAAAGTCCTCACAACCACCAGAGAAGTCTTTAATGTAAATCAGATCCTCTTCTTTCCCTGCCGGAACCTTCCAGTGGTTCCCTGTTTCACTCCAACTAAAACCCAGAGTCCTTTCCTACAGCACTCTACATGAGTGGCCCCTGCCACCTCCTTGACCTTGACAATCTCTGCCCCTTTCCCTAGCTTGCTTGCTTTTTTTTTTTTTTTTCCTATGATGGAGTTTTGATCTTGTCACCCAGGCTGGAGTGCAATGGGATGATTTCAGCTCACTGCAACCTCTGCCTCCTGGGTTCAAGCGATTCTCCTGCCTCAGCCTCCCGAGTAGCTGGGATTACAGGCGCCCACCACCATGCTAATTTTTGTATTTTTAGTAGAGAAAGGGTTTCACCATGTTGGCGAGGCTGGTCTCAACCTCCTGAGCTCAGGTGATCCACCCGCCTAGGCCTCCCAAAGTGCTGGGATTATAGGCGTGAGTCACGCAGCCAGCCATCCCTAGCTTTCTTGACCTAGACCACACTGACCTGCTTTCTATTCTTCAAACATGCCAAGCTCATTCTTGTTTTAGGACTTTTGCATTTACCATGCTCTCTGCCTAAAACACCAATCTTCTCAGAGCCTGAGAACAGCTCAGCTGTGTTCTGCACGCTAGTTCAGAAAGGCTTCTTTGACCCCCTAGTTCAAGTAGCATGCCTGTCTCCAGGGGCTCTGTCTCATTACCTGCTTTACTTTCTTTAGAGCCTTTATTGCTATCTGGAACTCTTATTTGGGTATTAATTTACTGATCTGTTATTTGTCCCACCCCATTAGAATATAAATTGGATGTGGCATAGACCTTGTCTCTTTTATTCCCTGCAGCACTCCCTGATGGGGGCGGCAGAAAAGTAACGAGCAAATACATCTATAACTGCAAATTGTGGTAACTCCTACATAAACAACTGGCAGCAATTGCTTATATTTGAGGCACTTAAAAATTTTTAAGCTGGCTGGGCGCGGTGGCTCATGCCTGTAATCCCAGCACTTTGGGAGGCCGAGGCGGGCAGATCACGAGGTCAGGAGATCGAGACCATCCTGGCTAACACGGTGAAACCTGTCTCTACTAAAAATACAAAAAATTAGCCGAGCGTGGTAGCAGGCGCCTGTAGTCCCAGCTACTTGGGAGGCTGAGGCAGGAGAATGGTGTGAACCCGGGAGGCGGAGCTTGCAGTGAGCCGAGATTGCACCACTGCACTCCAGCCTGGGTGAAGGAGCGAGACTGTCTCAAAAAAAAAAAAAAAAAAAAAAAAAGAAATTTTTTTAAGCTGCTGGGCGCGGTGGCTCACGCCTGTAAATCTCAGCACTTTGGGAGGCCGAGGTGAGCGGATCACCTGAGGTCGGGAGTTCGAGACCGGAACATGGTGAAACCCTGTCTCTACTAAAAATACAAAATTAGCGGGGCGTGGTGGCTCATGCCTGTAATCCCAGCTACTTGGGAGGCTGAGGCAGGAGAATCGCTTGAACCCAGGAGGCAGAGGTTGCAGTGAGCCGAGATCGCGCCATTGTACTCCAGCCTGGGCAAAAAGAGTGAACTCCATTTCAAAAAAAAAAAAAAAGGCCAGGCGCAGTGGCTCACGCCTGTAATCCCAGCACTTTGGGAGGCCGAGGCAGGCGGATCACGAGTTCAGGAGATTGAGACCATCCTGGCTAACACGGTGAAACCCTATCTCTACTAAAAATACAAAAAATTAGCCGGGTGTGGTGGCGGGCGCCTGTGGTCCCAGCTACTCGGGAGGCTGAGGCAGGAGAATGGTGTGAACCCAGGAGGTGGAGCTTGCAGTGAGCCGAGATTGCACCACAGCACTCCAGCTTTGGTGACAGAGCGAAACTCCGTCTCAAAAAAAAAAAAAAAAAAAATTTAAGCTTAGAGGCCGGCCACAGTGGCTCAGCACTGTGCAGGCCAAGGCAAGAGGATCACTTGAGGTCAAGAGTTCGAGACCAGCCTGGCCAACATGGTGAAACCCTGTCTCTACTAAAAAATACAAAAATTGGCCAGGCGCGTTGGCTGGCGCCTGTAATCCTAGCAACTTGGGAGACCAAGGCAGGCAGATCACCTGGGGTCAGGAGTTCAGGACCGGCCTGGCCAACATTAAAACATATAAAACCCCGTCTCTACTAAAAATATAAAAATTATCCAGGCATGGTGGCGTGTACCCGTAATCCCAGCTACTCGGGAGGCTGAGGTAGGAGAATTGCTTAAACCCGAGAAGCAGAGGTTGCAGTGAACCGAGATTACGCCACTGCACTCCAGCCTGGGCAACAGAGCGAGACTCTTTCTCAAAAACAACAACAACAACAAACAAACAAATTAGCCAGGCATGATGGTGGGCACGTGTAATCCCAGCTACTCGGGAGGCTGAGGCAGGAGAATTGCTTGAATGTGGGAGATGGAGGCTGCAGTGAGCCGAGATCACACCACTGCACTCCAGCCTGGGCGACAGGGAGACTCTGTCTCAAAAAAAAAAAAAAAAAAAAAAGTTTATAAGGCTGAATTACCGTACTGTCAAAACAAGCTGCTATCTGAGCCGTTTTAAGGGTGAGGAAGTCTGGAAACTGATAACTTGCCCAGGACACACAGTGAGTTCAAGGCATGGAACTCAGTCTCCTATCTTAAGAATGTATGTGGGCCGGGCATGGTGGCTCACGCCTGTAATCCCAGCGCTTTGGGAGGCCAAGGCAGGCAGATCATCTGAGGTCAGGAGTTCAAGACCAGCCTGACCAACATGGAGAAACCCTGTCTCTACTAAAAATACAAAATTAACCAGGTGTGGTGGTGCATGTCTGTAATTCCAGCTACTCAGGAGGCTGAGGCAGAAGAATCACTTGAACCCGGAAGGCAGAGGTTGCGATGAGCCGAGATTGTGCCATTGTACTCCAGCCTGGGCAACAAGAGTCTGGAACTCTGTCTCAAAAAAGAAAAAAAGAATGTATGTGTAGCAGGCTTTTTTTTTTTTTTTTTCCCCCGAGACGGAATCTGGCTCTGTCGCCCAGGCTGGAGTGCAGTGGCGCAATCTTGGCTCACTGCAAGCTCCGCCTCCCAGGTTCACGCCATTCTCCTGCCTCAGCCTCCCGAGTAGCTGGGACTACAGGCACCCGCCAGTACGCCGGGCTAATTTTTTGTATTTTTAGTAGAGACGGGGTTTCACCGTGTTAGCCAGGATGGTCTTGATCTCCTGACCTCGTGATCCACCCGCCTCGGCCTCCCAAAGTGCTGGGATTACAGGCGTGAGCCACCGTGCCCGGCCTATGTGTAGCAGGCTTTAATGGTGGGCCTGCAGCCATGTCATGGAAAGAAGCTGACCTGAAGATCTCAGTTCTTTCTTCTTCTACTAACTAGCAAGCATACCTCAGTTTCTTCTTTAAAGCGGGATGATCCGATTATTATCATGTTGGGGTTCACTTTTTATTTTTTCAGTGTGTCCCAAAGCAGCAGCACGTTTAGGTATAGCCCTCTTGCTATCAGCTTGAGGGCCTTAGAGCCAGGAAGGGAGCCAGGACATTTATAGGCACAGAAACTAGGGTCACATACAGATCCCCCCACCGCATGTGCTAGGGGTACATGCAGACCTTCCCAGTGCTGACCAACCTGCAGAGAAGAAATGGGCCCTAGGTATTCTGGATCTGATTCTTTTTGGTCTTCAATTATTTTTATTTTTATTTTTTTAGAGACAGGGTCTCGCTGTGTTGCCCAGGCTGGCCTCGAACAGCTGGGCTCAAGCGATCCTCCTGCCCTAGCTTCTTGAGTAGCTGGTGGTCATCAATTCATTTTTAGCAAATTCTGCAGAATTTTTTTTTTTTTTTTTTTTTTTGAGACGGAGTCTCACTCTGCCGCCCAGGCTGGAGTGCAGTGGCGTGATCTCGGCTCACTACAACCTCCGCCTCTTGGGTTCAAGCAATTCTCTGTCTCAGCTTCCTGAATAGCTGGGACTGCAGGCGCCCGCCACCATGCTTGGCTAATTTTTTTGTATTTTCAGTAGAGACGGGGTTTCACCATCTTGGCCAAGTTGGTATTGAACTCCTGACCTCGTGATCCATCCGCCTCGGCCTCCCAACGTGCTGGGGTTACAGGCGTGAGCCACCGCGCCCGGGTTCTGCAGGAATTTTGGAGAGACTCAGGCAGTAATAAAATAGGATGTTTACAGAAATTAAAGATGGCGGCCGGGCGCGGTGGCTCACGCCTGTAATCCCAGCACTTTGGGAGGCCGAGGCGGGCGCATCACGAGGTCAGTAAATCGAGACCATCCTGGCTAACCCCGTGAAACCCCGTCTCTACTAAAATACAAAAAAATTAGCCGGGCGTGGTGGCGGGCGCCTGTCGTCCCAGCTACTCAGGAGGCTGAGGCAGGAGAATGGCGTGAACCCGAGAGGCGGAGCTTGCAGTGAGCCGAGATCGCGCCACCGCACTCCAGCCTGGGCGACAGAGAAAGACTCCGTCTCAAAAAAAAAAAAAAGAAATTAAAGGTGGCTGGACACATTGGCTGGTGCTTGTCATCCGAGCTACTTGACAGGCGGAGGCAGGGGGATCGCTTGAGGCCAGGCGTTTGAGACCAGCCTGGGCAGCATCATGAGACCCTGTCTCTAGAAAAAATAAAAAAATTAGCTGGGCATAGTGGCGCAGGTTTGTAGTTCCAGCTACCGGGGATGCTGAGGCGGGAGGATTGCTTGAGCCCACGAGTTCGAGGCTGCAGTGAACTATTATTGCACCACTGCACCCAACTTGGGTGACAGAGACCCCATCTGTTTGTTTGTTTGTTTTTGAGACAGAGTTTCGCTCTTGTTGCCCAGGCTGGAGTGCAATGGTGCAATCTTGGCTCACCGCAACCTCTGCCCCCAGGTTCAAGCAATTCTCCTGCCTCAACCTCCCGAGTAGCTGGGATTACAGGCATGCGCCACCATGCCCAGCTATTTTTTTTTTTTTTTTGTATTTTTAGTAGAGACGGGATTTTCTCCATGTTGGTCAGTCTGGTCTCCAACTCCCGACCTCAGTTAATCCCCCAAATTGGCCTCCCAAAGTGCTGGGATTATAGGCGTGAACCACTGTGCCCAGCCCGAGACCCCATCTCTTAAAAACAAAATAAAACAAAACAAAAACGGCCAGGTGTGGTGGCTCACACCTGTAATCCCCAAACTTGGGAGGCCGAGGCGGGTGGACCACTTGAGGTCAG